>NC_000005.10:176363106-176513552 GCF_000001405.40 Homo sapiens
AAATCAGCCAGGCGTAGTGACAGGTGCCTGTAATCCCAGCTATTCTGGAGACTGAGGCAGGAGAATCTCTTGAACCTGGGAGACGGAGGCTGCAGTCTGCCTTGTCCTAGGTACCCCCAGTGACTGCCAAGGCTTCCACGTGTGTAGCACGAGGAGGAAGAACAGGAGAAACGACCTGAGTACAGCAGTCGGGTTCTTTTGGCTCTCCAGAGGGGTGACGCCATGTACGGCTGGCTGTAGGGTACATGGGTTGAGAGACCGCCTGTGGCTCTCAGGGCCCAGCAGGGCTACCTCTTTCCCTTTATATTGTCTCAACTCTTCACCTCCTTTTAGTTCGCGATTCCTCTGTACCCCTGGCTCTGGGTCCCAGCCCCTATTCCTTCTGATTTGTCCCCCTTTCCCTTTGACTACATATATATGCTCCTCTCCTCCCAGATAGTGATGTTTTAGCTACATCTTATTTCTTCCGGCATTGATTCTTTTGAAAAATTTATTTCTGGCTGGGTGTGGTGGCTCATGCCTGTAATCCCAGCACTTTGGGAGGCCTGAGATCACACTACTGCACTCCAGCCTGGGCTACAGAGTGAGACTCCATCTCAAAAAAAAAAAAAACTTTATCCCTGATATTTGTGGTACCAATGTCTGAAGCTGTCATGGTCTTGGTGCATAGCACCTATGTGAGAGCACCTATTTCTTTTCCACAAATAATAGACTGTAAACATTTTTTTTTTTTTTTTTTTTGAGACAAGGTCTCGCTCTGTTGCCCAGGCTGGAATGCAGTGGCGCAATCTCGGCTCACAGTAACCTCTGCCTCCCAGTTTCAAGCGATTCTCCTGCCTCAGTCTACCAAGTAGCTGGGACTACAGGCGCCTGCCACCACGCCCGGCTCCACGCCCGGCTAATTTTTTGGATTTTCAGTAGAGATGGGGTTTCACCGTGTTAGCCAGGATGGTCTCGATCTCCTGACCTCGTGATCCGGCCGGCTGCCTCGGCCTCCCAAAGTGCTGGGATCACAGGCGTGAGCCACCGCACCAGCCAAACTTTTAATCTTAGCAATTTTGTGGGTTTTCCCCTCTAAGTGGGTGTATTTTTGAGGAGGAGCTAATTTTTTTTTCTTTTTTTTTTTTTTTGAGACGGATTCTTGCTCTGTCACCCAGGCTGGAGGGCAGTGGCGCAATCTCAGCACACTGCAACCTCCTCCTCCTGGGTTCAAGCGATTCTCCTGCCTTAGCCTCCTGAGTAGGTGGGATTACAGGCACGTGCCACCACGCCCGGCTAATTTTTGTAGAGATGGGGTTTCACCATGTTAGGCAGGCTATTCTCGAACTCCTGACCTCAGGTGATCCGCCTGCCTCGGCCTCCCAAAGTGCTGGGATTACAGGCATGAGCCACCACACCCGGCCAGAAATAAATTTTTCAAAAGAATCAATGCCGGAAGAAATAAGATGTAGCTAAAACATCACTATCTGGGAGGAGAGGAGCATATATATGTAGTCAAAGGGAAAGGGGGACAAATCAGAAGGAATAGGGGCTGGGACCCAGAGCCAGGGGTACAGAGGAATCGCAAACTAAAAGGAGGTGAAGAGTTGAGACAATATAAAGGGGAAGAGGTAGCCCTGCTGGGCCCTGAGAGCCACAGGCGGTCTCTCGACCCATGTACCCTACAGCCAGCCGTACATGGCGTCACCCCTCTGGAGAGCCAAAAGAACCCGACTGCTGTACTCAGGTCGTTTCTCCTGTTCTTCCTCCTCGTGCTACACACGTGGAAGCCTTGGCAGTCACTGGGGGTACCTAGGACAAGGCAGTCAGCCCTAAACATTCTGAAGTCCTGACACTGCTTAATTCAGCCTGACCAGGACCCCAGCAAAACCCCTGTGGTCCGGGAGGCAGCGAAAGAAGGCTAGAGGTGGCGGGGAGCCACGGACCTGGGTTCTATTCCTGCCTCTGCCACCCCACTGCCGTGTGATATCGGGCGTCTTGCTTCAATTTCCTCCCGAGGTCTTGAGGGATGACCGGGAGACAGATCGCTTGGGTTTGAACGCAGGCTACACCAAAGCACTACGATGCGGCGTTGGGCGGGTTACTTAACTCCTGGGCCTCGGTTTTCCCTTCTGCGTGGTATCATTGTAAGGGGTAACGGAGAAAAGCCGTGAGCTAACCCCTGGTGGATGCTAGCAAGCACCGCCGTCTCCCGTCCTCCCCAGGCACAGCCTCTCCTTCCTCCACCCTGCACCTGGCAGGGGGACCGGAGGTCCCCGCGCGCCGGCCAGCGCCCCACCACCCACGCCGCCGGGTCCCGGGCGGCCTGCCGTGACAGCGGCAGTGCATTGTGGGGCTTGTAGTGCGGGACTGGGTCTGGGTGGGTGGGCGCGGCCGCAGCAGTCGCAGCGGGGCCATCTTCGGCGGGCGAGTGGGCTCGGCCTGTGCAACCCGCACCTGCGTCCCTCGCCCGGCCCGATGGCGCCGCGGCCGCTGGGCCCCTTGGTGCTGGCGCTGGGCGGCGCCGCGGCGGTGCTGGGCTCGGTGCTCTTCATCCTCTGGAAGACCTACTTCGGCCGCGGCCGAGAGCGGCGCTGGGACCGGGGAGAGGCCTGGTGGGGCGCGGAGGCTGCCCGCCTCCCCGAGTGGGACGAGTGGGACGTGAGTGCCGGGCCGAGGCCTGCGGAAGGGCGGGCAGGCTGGGCTGCGACTCCGCGCATGTGGCCAAGGGGTGTGACCACGGAACGGCCCTGCTGGTGCCGGGAGCTTGGGGGGTCGAGGGCTTGGCAGCCGCAGCGCACAGGCCCCGCGCGGGTGGGCGGTCAGAGCCCGGGAACCGAGGAACGGGTGGGTGTGCTTGGGTGCGTGCGGCGCCTTGGCGCCACGCCGTCGCTCCACGCCATGAGGCTCGGGTGTTCCAGCGGGGGCCGGAGTTTGGAGGGCGCGGCTCGGGAGCATCCCGGGGCCCAGCCGGGTCGGCTCGCGCCCCTCCGGCGCCTGCGCAGTGCACCCCGCCCGGGGGTGGGGATGTCGGGAGAAACCCCATCCCCTCCCGCCTGCGGTCGGGACTCCGAGACCGGTGGAGGAAGCGGGGCGCGCGAGCGTTTAAGGAATTCGCCAAGGGTTTGGAATTCAGGACTGCAAAGGCGGCGTTCGTCCCACTCATCCAGACCATGCCTGCCTGTCCCAGGACGGGTGGAAGGCGGGCCTGGGCCCTCTGGTGCCTTCGGTCTTCCCTCGGGAAAGGTCCTTCGGGAGGCCGCCAGCCGCAACCTTACCTCCGCTTCCCCGCAGCCCGAGGACGAGGAGGACGAGGAGCCGGCGCTGGAGGAGCTGGAACAGCGCGAGGTGCTGGTGCTGGGGCTGGATGGCGCAGGCAAGAGCACGTTCCTGCGCGTGTTGTCGGGGAAGCCACCGCTGGAAGGCCACATCCCCACCTGGGGCTTCAACTCCGTGCGTCTGCCCACCAAGGACTTTGAGGTGGACCTGCTAGAAAGTGAGCGGACACCCTACCCCATCTCCCCGTCTCCTCTACTGGACCAGTCCTGGATTCTCTGCAGGGAAGGGGGCTTCCAAAATGCATGTCTAAGCAGCACATTCCCCTCTACGAATCCTTCCCACCGCTCTCCGGGGCACAGGATTCAGCCCACGCTCTGTGCTCTGACATTTAGGGCCCTTCGTGATCGGGCCTCTCCAGCTGCACCGCCTGCCCCATCACCCCTACCAAAGTCGATAGGCCTAACACAGAGATACTAACAGCTAAGGGTTCATATGCCAAGCACTTGACGGGCATTGCTTAAGAAAACTCCCCTAAACAATTACATAAAACTAGAATCGGTCACTACCCTCGTTATCTCCAGAGGAAAATGAGTTCCAGCAGTAGTATCATGAATCCAAGGTCACCCACCTTTCTAGTCTTTTTTTTTTTTTTTTTTTTTTTGAGATGGAGTCTCACTGTGACACCCAGGCTGGAGTGCAATGGCGCTGTCTCGGCTCACTGCAACCTCCTCCTCCCGGGTTCAAGCGATTCTCCAGCTTCAGCCTCCTGAGCAGCTGGGATTACAGGCGCCCGCCACCACGCCCGGCTAATTTTTGTATTTTTAGTAGAGACGGGGGTTTCACCACATTGGTCAGGCTAGTCTTGAACTCCTGACCTCAAGTGATCTGCCCGCTTCGACCTCCCAAAGTGCTGGGATTACAGGCGTAAGCCATCGCACCCCACCATTCTAGTTTTTTTTTTTTGGAGACAGGGTCTCTGTCGCCCAGGCTGGAATGGCAGTGGGCAGTGGCACACCCTCCTCCACTATTGCCTGTCTGGCCCAAACTAGTGTCATCTTTCCTCTCAGCACCACAGCCTCCTCTTTGGTCTTCCTGCTTCCCCTTCTGTCCCTAGTGTCAGCTAGAGAAAACCCATGTCAGGTAATGTCACTCTTGCTTAAAGCCCTTGGGGGGCTCCCCACCCCCTCACTGTGGTCTTTGGCCCCATGTGGCCCGCCCCAGCCAGCCTCACAGCCATCTCTTTCTCCTTCTTGCAGTGCCTCAGCACCCCAGCCTTCTTTCTGTTTCCCAGACACTTCCAGCATGCTCTCCCCTCTGTCTGGAATGCTTTCCTCTGCCTCTTCCCATGGCTGGCTCCTTCTCATCATCCCACTCAGCTCACATGCCACTTCCTTGATGAGACCTACCCAGACCACCCAATCCAGGGCCAACCCCTGTTCCACCTCAGCCACTTTCCCTTTTTTCTGTTTTATTTCTTTCCTTTTTGAAATGTGTTGATGTCATTGCCATGTCCTTCCCAGTTAGGGAGGGAGCTCCTTGGTGCAGGGCCCCTGCTTGCCTTGCTCACCTCTGTATCTGCAGCACCCAGATCAGTGCTTGGCACCTAGCAAGCACTCAGTAAATATTTGTTGAGTGCCTGCTATGTGCCAGGCATTGTGCTGAGGGCTTTGTGGGGATTCAGAGGTAAGTGCCTCTGACTCTCACAGCTTAGAATCCTCAAGTGTCAGAAACATAGCCAGAAACACTAGGGTGCGGGGTGACCAATGGGACTGTGCAGAGGAGCAGAGAGGAAAAGAAAGGTGATCCAGGCTGGGGGACTGTGTTGGCAACCATGTGTTCATAGGATGAAATATGACATTTCCAAGGGAAAAGAAGGGGATGGGGGAAACTGAATGGAGAATGGCTGTGTATAGGCAGGGCAGGGGGTCCTGAGTTTTCTAGACAATAGGACTCCTGGCTCCTGTCACAGCCATCACTGACAGTTTTGAACCTGTAGGAGAAAGCTAGGAATTAGCAAGAGGCAAAGCCAGACAACCCAGGGGAGAGAACTGAAGACTTCCATTTACTGAGCACCTGTGTGTCAGTCCCGTGAAAGGTACATCGCACGTGGTACCTGTGGGTTTTACTGCAACAACCCGTTAGGAAAGTTCAGTGAGGAGACTGGTGCTTAAAGCTAGGGACTTGCCCCAAGAGACCCGCCTATCAGAGCTAGAGCTAAATCCAGTCTGAGTAGCTGCGGAAACTGCGGTCTTTTCCTTGCCCCCGGCTGGTGGAAGCTCACTAAGCTAGAAGCAGGGTGGGGTGGGGGCTGTGGGCAGTGAGCGGGGGCCCGGGGTGGGGTGGGGGCTGTGGGCAGTGAGCGGGGGCCCGGGGTGGGGTGGGGGCTGTGGGCAGTGAGCGGGGGCCCGGGAGGCTCTGAGCTGGCCCCTGGCCTCTCCTCAGTTGGGGGCAGCCAGAACCTGCGCTTCTACTGGAAGGAGTTTGTGAGCGAGGTGGATGTGCTGGTGTTTGTGGTGGACTCGGCTGACCGACTGCGGCTGCCCTGGGCCCGACAGGAGCTGCACAAGCTGCTGGACAAGGACCCTGACCTGCCTGTCGTCGTGGTGGCCAACAAGCAGGTGAGGGCTGTGAGAGGGCAGCTCGGTCCAGGTGACATCCACTCAGAGATGCTTGGGCAGGGGCAAGGAGCGCTGCCTGGGCCCATGGCCTGGAGAGGGTGGCTGAGATGCTGCCCCCACCTCTTCTACCTATGCCCTGTCCTGATCCCTGCCTCTGTCTTCCTTCCTCTTTGCCTCCCTATCATCTCGTACTCTGGAGAGATGAGAAAAATAATTATTAAGTGCCTCCTATATGCCAGGCATGGTGTTTTGTTTTTGTTTTTTTTTTGAGACAGAGTCTTGTTCTGTCGCCCAGGCTGGAATGCAGTGGTGTGATCTCGGCTCACTGCAACCTCCACCTCCCGGGTTCAAGCAATTCTTGTGCCTCAGCCTTCCGAGTAGCTGGGATTACAGGTATGTGCCACCACACCCAGCCAATTTTTGTATTTTTAGTAGAGGTGGAGTTTTGCCATGTTGGCCAGGCTGGTCTTGAACTCCTGACCTCAAGTGATCCGCCCGCCTCAGCTTCCCAAAGTGCTGGAATTATAGGCATGAGTCACTGTGTCTGGCCCCCAGGTGTGGTTTTGAATAACATTTCTTCTTATGCTTCTGTTGACCCTATAAAGTATGGGATGCTATTCCCATTTTATAGATGGGACAGGCTAGTCTTATAATCTTTCCAAGGTTGTACATCTTGAGAGTAATAGAATTGGTCCAGGCGTGGTGGCTCAAACCTCTACCTCCAACACTTTGAGAGGCCAAGGAAGGTGGATCATTTGATTCCAGGAGTTCGAGACCAGCCTGGGCAACATGGTGAAACTCCGTCTCTACAAAAAAAATGCAAAAAATTAACTGGGTGTGGTGGTGCCTGCCTATAGTGCCAGCTACTTTAGAGGCTGAGGCAGAAAGATCACTTGAACCCAGGAGGTCGAGGCTGCAGTGAGCTGTGATCACACTACTGCACTCCAGCCTGGGTGACACAGCGAGACCCTATCTCAAAAAAAAAAAAAAAAATAGTGGAATTGGGACGTGTAATGCTAAAGCTGTACCTTTTCCACTCTGCTATGCCCTTGCAAATTCTGGCTCTAGATCAGAGAGCTGAAGCTGGTAACTGATGAGAGGTAGAACAGGTTAAATAACAGCTAACATTTATTGTGTGCTTACGGTGTGCCATACATGTGGTAAGCACCTGACAATCATGACCTCACTTCCCTCTAAATACCTCGTGATAGGCCCTGCTGTTACACTAAATACCTGGAGTTGCAGCTGGCATGTGGCAAAGCCCAAACTTGAACTCAGATATTCTTCAAAGTTCCTCCTCTTAACCAGTGTGCTGTACCTCTCTTGGGTGCCAGAGAGTCGCCTTGGGCCCAGGAACCCTCAGTATCACAGACCTTGGGTCCCATTCTCAATATCAGGTGAAACTGCCAGAGTACAGAGTCTGATCATATTTCCTGTGGCCTAAACTCAGGTGCCTCTGAGAGCTGTGGGACCTGTTTCCAACTTGACATGGAGAGAGACTGTATGTCTTCGACCTCAGATTCCCCAACCTATTAGGAAACATTTGACAATTATTTATAAATAGGGTGACTGTATGTCCTTTTCTGTCCAAGACAGTCCCCATTTACGACTCTTGTTCTGGCACTATTAATAGTGCCCGCTCTGAGCCTCAGATTGCCCCAGTTTGGACCAGGAATCACATCATGTCCTATTTATAAACTAATTTATAGCAGTTTTGAACCTGTAGGAGACAACATCTAAGGTCCCAGCAGTCTCTGAATTGCTCCAGGAAGAATCATTTAAATCTTGGGCCAGGGTTGAAATTACAACATACCATCACCAGTCATGCTGTGTAGTGGTCCCTTGTTTTCCTCCAGCTAGTTTCTAGAGGTCTTGTCTGGAAGTGATCCTACTGTATCATCTCTCCATGACTGAGTTTAGGAAACTTGGTTATCAAACCAACCTGAGTTGGCACCTGGCTCTACCACCTATCACTGTTACCTTAGCTCAATGATGTCACCTCCCTGAGCTACTTTTCTCATCAATTAAGTGTGGACTGTGAACATTAAATAAGCTGAAGTATATACGGGCCTATCTACAATGCTTGACACATAGGAAGTGCTCTATTTCTAGCCGGGCGTGGTGGCTCATGCCTGTAATCCCAGCACTTTGGGAGGCTGAGGCAGGTGGATCACCTGAGGTCAGGAGTTCGAGACCAGCCTGGCCAGCACGGCGAAACCCCGTCTCTACTAAAAATACAAAAATTAGCCAGGCGTGGTGGCTCACACCTGTAGTCCCAGCTACTAGGGAGGCTGAAGCAGGAGAATCGCTTCAGGATTCCACCACAGGAGGTGGAGGTTGCAGTGAGCCAAGATCGTGCCACTGCACTCCAGCCTGGGTGACAGAGCAAAACTCCGTCTCAAAACAGTGGCTAATGATGCAATGAAAAGAGGTTGGTACAAAGGAGAGCCCAGGGTGAGGGAGAGAGCATTGAGTTTAGGCCAAGGGGTCCAGAGGCTACTTCTGGGAACTTGGGGCCTGATATTCCCGGGGATAGCCTAAGAACAGTGTGTTTCCTGATATTCCCGGGGATAGCCTAAGAACAGTGTGTTTCCTGATATTCCCGGGGATAGCCTAAGAACAGTGTGTTTCCTGATATTCCCGGGGATAGCCTAAGAACAGTGTGTTTCATGAACGACAAGGGTGTCAGTGTGTTAGGAAATGCTGCCAGCTGTGTTCGGACTTCTGTGTCTCACCCAGGACCTGAGCGAGGCCATGAGTATGGGGGAGCTGCAGCGGGAGCTGGGTCTACAGGCTATCGATAACCAGCGGGAGGTTTTCCTCTTGGCAGCCAGCATTGCCCCTGCAGGACCCACCTTTGAAGAGCCTGGCACCGTGCACATCTGGAAACTGCTCTTGGAGCTCCTCTCCTAGGCTGGAGCTCTCCTGCTTGCCACCTGCCTGTCAAGACCATAGTTGTACTGCTGCTGCTTCATTGCCAGACTGGGCCTGGGGCAAGAGCCACATGGCAGCATTTCCCTTTTCCCCTCCTTTGCCTTTCAAGAGCAGGGCCTGGGCAAGGCCAAGAACCATGCAGAAGCCTTCCTGGTGAGGTGGCCGTGAAGCCGAAGCAGGGAGGTGGGTGAGACAGAGGGTGGGGAGGATAGTGTCTGGCTCATTCCAGGCTGGAATGTGGATCCAGCTTTCCCTTCTCTTACCTGTACAGTGAGATGCTCAGTGGGCTCAATCCTCCACTACAGGTCCCGGTACCTGAGGAACCAGTGTAGGTGTCAGAAATACTCCTAGAGCCTCAAGGTCTCCCAGTCCAGAAACAGTCTGGTGACGTCATGCCCTTCTCATGTGGGCAGCTTCTGAGTGGTGACACAGCAAGCCTTTGTTCCTGTCCTGCATTGTCCAGCCCCAGCTCCACCTAAGTGACTTGTGGCCTTGTGCAATCTCTGCCTCTCTGACCCCAGGGCCATTATTTTTAAAGGGAGGTGGTTTCCTAATTCGGAGATGCCTTTCCCAGCCATGGGAGTGTGAAGTGCTAGGATGAACCTGGCCATCCTAGCAAGGAGCTTTCTGAAGACCTCCCTGCCTTTCCCTGAGCCCAGGCCTGGCCTGCCAGCCTCTCTTGACTACAGAATAACTGATATTCACCCACCAAACAGAAAAAGTGAAGGCTGGGTTTTTCCCCTCTAATCTGGAGACAAGCTGCTGCTCTCGTACTAACTGTGCCAGTGCCCATGTTTACAGAAGTCAGGGGAAGGAAGGAGCCTGTGTCCCTGGGACGACAGTCAACTGGAGCTAGGTGTTGACCTCAGAACTGCATTTTATTTATTAATTTATAAGCAGAACAGGCCAGAGTTCTAGGCTCTGTTTCTAGGTGCTGTTTTCAAAACCCCAGATGACAGTCATAGAAAATTTGGAACTTAGGAAAATAGCTGGAATCATGAATGACAATGAGATAACATACAGATGTCAGTGGAGACAAAGTTGTGGGTTCCTCCTCCCACCTGGCTTTGAGGCTGTCGTCGATATCATAGTACTTTACATGGATTCACATGAACTGAAACGCCACCACTTGGCCCAGGATGTTGAAAGGGTGCAAATTCCTTCTGGGTAGATAAGAAATGACTCTGGGAGAGGATTTCCCTTATGTGAATCTAGGTAAAAAGATGGAAAAAAATTGTATTATGTGATCCTAAGGACAGGAATAGCAGACCAGCCAACGGGATGGCCTTGGGTACATCACTCAGCCTTTCTGGACCCAATTTTTCCCCAGTGAAAGCCAAGTTGGACTGAATTTCTGGAGTTCTCATCAGTGCACATTCCATAGTTCTCCAGTGCTTGGCGATCAGCCCAATTGAAGGACTGGCTCTGTACTGACACTTATTATCGGTACAGGCAAAGAGGAGCCTGTTGTCTGTTAGGGACCACTAAATCAACAACCACAAATGGATTTTTTTTTTAAGAGGAGCTGTGCACCTCAATTTGCTGTCTAGTTGAGAATAGAGATTGTGTGCCTTCATTTCATTTGACATTTACCCAGCATGCCTCAGTTCCACACCGTGACCAGTGTAAGAAGAGGAACTATGATAAAAACAGTTCAACAAGCCGCAAGGAGGGTGGGAAATTCTGAAGTCCAGAAGCGAGTGTGATCTTTGGAATAGTGGCTGCTGTGCCCTTGGGCGCCATTTGAAGAATCACTGTTCTTGAAAGTGCTGGTTCACTTTCTGCAGTAAGAAGTGATTTATGGGCTTTTATGTAAAATTTTAAGAATGACTTGGGTTTCAGAGTAGCCTTTGAAACTTTGCTGGCAGCTTTTCATTTTGTCATTGGAAGGCTAAGAGACTTTTCTCCTTTGTTCTATGAACTCCTTGTTCTTCAGGGCTTGAAGGCAAAAAAACCTTAGACAACTTTAACGAAGTTTAAAAAGTATGTTCTGTTTTTGAGCAGAAAAAAGATTCGTGAACTGGTTAGTACTTAGCACCAAAAGCAGTTCAGAATGCTCAGCCCCACAATGTGTGTAGGCTACATTTATAGCCAGAGAAACGAAAATAACTTAGGTTGCCTGATTGGCTGCAGTCTGGCATTTGCCTTACCTGAACATGTTTTAGCAGCCTTCAGCCGACGATTGACTGAAGGTTTGGCTGCTGTGATTGGCTAAAATTCGGCTACTTGTTAGAAGAACATACTTTTAGGTTAGGTTACGAGTTGTTTACACGTTAAGTTACAATTCACTGTGTACAGAGGCAGCTTTAGGCCAGACTTAATTCAGCTTCACAGTGTCCCTCATTTTGCTCAGCCCCTTAATTTTGAGAGATTGACCAAAATCCCACGCACTGACACTACCTTCTGTCACTATTTGACCTCATTATGGAACTCACAGTTTACAATGTTAAATCAGTTAGCGGATTCTGTATGTCTTCATGTTTCTGTTACTCTAACCGTAATGAGACCATTTGAGGTACAAAGGATGACTGCATTGGTGTACTTAAGACTACAACACATCAGTGGGGACCTTAGGATGGCTATCAGGAGTGTAATACCAAGAAACTGGAATGCATCCCTTAATATGAGTCTCCACAAACCAAACTGATTGGAATCAAACAACTCAAGTTCAGACGATAAAAATAGTTCAACAGCGTGCAAGCTCTGCTGCTCATAGCCTGTTCAGGGTATAATGGCAATTAAGGACATAGTTCACTATGAAGTACCTTAATTGTAAAGTGTTTGATTTTTTAGTTAGCTTTTGGTAACACAAGTCATGGTGATTGGGATACCCACTAAAAGAAACATGAAGATTAGAAAACCTTGAACAGCTAAGCTTGCTGTCTACCATTCAGGATGCCTGCAAACCAACCACTAGCTGCTCCTGCAAACACATTATGTGTTCCTTTTCCCTGAGAAATATCCTTGATGTGTTTGGTGGCAGTATCTACAGAAGCGGCAGCCACCACCGCCTTTTGAAGCTCTCCATAGTAGTAGAATCAGGAAAGATAAGCACAGCGTTCAGTTTTGTTCAGCACCATACACAAGCTCCTAGCTGGGCAAAGGAAATCTAAAGCTGCATGAAGTTCCATTACGTGTTTTTGTTGAACACAGGTGGCCTCATCCATCCATCCATCCATCCATCCATCCATCCCTCCATCCGTCCACCCGTCCACCCGTCCACCCATCCACCCACCCACCCATCCATCCACCCACCCACCCACCCATCCACCCATCCATCCATCCATCCACTCATCCACCCATCCACCCATCCATCCATCCATCCATCCATCCTTCCATCCATCCACCCATCCACCCATCCATCCATCCACCCATCCATCCATCCATCCATCCATCCATCCATCCATCCATCCATCCATCATCCACCCATCCATCCATCCATCCATCCATCTGTGGCTTCTACCTGTGCGAATCTCTGTGCTACAAAATTCTTTTCAATTTAGCATTAACTTTAATTTCCATACAGTTGGCACCTCACTGCCGCCAAAAGTGAGTCCGCAGGAACTCCACTGGAATATTTGCTCAGGGGAAACTAACTAATCATCTGTTTCAAGGTTGGTATTCATTTTAGTCTTTGACCTCTGATTATGGGGACTTTCAGGGAAAGCTGTTTGCAAGGTGAGCATGAATCAGGTGAAACAGCAAGATCTGAAGTCAGGACAGAGTAAGCAAATTATCCACAGACCTAATATGTACCCTCTGAAGCTGGAAAGTGGGGGCCACCTGGTAGCATTTGAGCAGGGGTCACTTATGTTCCCCCATAAGTCTGCACAGCTCCTAAACAAGGTCCAGTGGGCAACTTATTTTTATGTGGTCCCTTTATAGCATGCTGTAAGGGTGCATAACCACAGCCAGTGAGAAGGAACCCTACTGGATTTAACCCAGTGACATTATATAAGCAATCGCTTGGAGCCACATAGGTAGTTCCCAGGTCCTGAATATGTGGTGCCTGAAAGCATAGGTGTAGGCAGTGTTCCTTGCATAGGCATTACCTGGACAGGTTTTTTTCCATATTGGCACTTATTAATTGAAAAGGTCAGGGTACCACTTCCAATGAGTGTAGGGAAGCAAGCAGTAGTGGTGTTTAGAATATCAAGGTTAGCTGCTGGATGCGGTGGCTCACGCCTGTAATCCCAGCACTCTGGGAGGCTGAGGTGGACGGATCACGAGGTCAGGAGATCGAGACAATCCTGGCTAACACAGTGAAACCCTGTCTCTACTATAAAATACAAAAAATCAGCTGGGTGTGACGGCATGCGCCTGTAGTCCCACCTACTAGGGAGGCTGAGGCATGAGAATCACTTAAACTTGGGAGGCAGAGGTTGCAGTGAGCTGAGATCACGTCACTGCACTCTAGCCTGGGAGACAGAGCGAGACTCCGTCTCAAAAAAAAAAAAAAAAAAAGGTTAGCATTCCACTCTTCCTTTGGGGTTTCAGGGTGACTTATTGGGAAAATGGAGAGATACTGGCATTAATGGAATCGTTTCCTGATTTGAGCGTTAAGTCACAAACCCAACAGGAACTCCAGTTTCTTGCTAGAGCATTAGCCTTTGCTAAAGCCGGCCCCAGATTATGGTCCCACGGATTTTCCCATAAAGAAAGGGAAAGGATTTGCGGACAGAAAATAGGAAAGAGAGGGAGAAAGATAAGATTTTTGCGATTGCAGTGAAGTCTTCATCCACATCTAGGGAAAGCTGTTCATGTCTAGGACGTGATCTGCTTCTGGGGAAAAACTTCCCTGGTTAGCTTTACCTTAAAGTCTCCAACAGGTGTGTAGTTCCAGGAGTCTGGAGAGGTCCTTTTGAGTTGTGAGATGTGGACCCAAGGTTCGAAGCCCTGAAGTTTTACCACAGTGTGGGTAATAGAAGAACTTGGTATTGTCTCTTTCTGTGAGGTTTAAGGGCACTTTTTCTCTGATACCATCTCCAGAAGACCTAGTCTCAGGTTACAGATTGTGAAGGCTTTGATGGTCCTCTGTGGGTCACAGAAAGTTTATTTTATTTTGTCAAAATACAGTGTGACATAATGCATTACAGCTTTGTAGTATTTAGTGGCATCAGCATTTAGGAGAGTAGGAACTACGTGAAGTTCTGTTAGGAGCACAGGCTTTCTAGTAACTATTTCATAGGGGTCAATCTGTGTCTGTCGTAGGAATGGATCTGATCTGCTGACCAAAGGCAATGGTTGGCTTTCTTCTTCAGAGATCAGAAAAAAATGAAATTCAAAGCCAATGGTGGTATCTTTGGCCAAGATAATCCAATCGATTCAGTTAATTTTGCCAATTTTAGTTTTAAAATATTTGTCCTTTTGACCTTTCCAGAAGACTGAGGGTGAAAGGGACAATGGTAGTACCACTGTGTTTCTAACACTTTATTTAGCTGCTTCATAGTTTGTCCAATAAAATGAGTTCCTCTGTCACTGGAGATTTTTCCAGAGATGCCCCATAAAGGAAACACATGTTCTTATAACTCCTTAGCTACTGCCATAGCATCAGCTCTCCTACACAGGAAAGCTTCTATCCAACCAGAAAACATGCCAACTATTACAAGAACATACTGATACTTAATTGAGGGTGGCAGTTGAATGAAGTCCATCTGTAAGCGTTCAAATGGTCCATCAGGTGTTGGTGGAAATACACCACTTGGAGTTTTTATTATCTTCCCTGGATTATGGGTTTGACAAACCAGATATTGGTTATAACCCATTTCAGCATTTTACAGTGGTCACACTATCAGTATTTTTTATAATCTGGATCATCTTGCTCATTTGTGAGGTGCAGAGGTTGTTTTTTGTTTTTTTGTTTTGAGACAGGATCTCACTCTGTCACCCAGGCTGGAATGCAGTGGTGCAATCATGGCTCACTACAACCTCCACCTCCAGAGATCAAGCAGTCCTCCCACCTCAGTCTCCTGAGTAGCTGGGACTACCAGTGTGCGCCACCATCCCCAGCTAATTTTTTGTAATTTTTATAGAGAGGGTTTTATCCTCTTGCCCAGGCTGGTCTTGAACTCCTGGGCTCAAGCTGTCAGTCCAGCTCAGCTTCCCAAAGTGCTGGGGTTATAGGGAAGAGCCACCGTGCCTGGCCAAGTGCAAAGCTTTTAACAATAGAAGTTTCAAGGGCTCAGGAAGGACCAGGGGGCCATCTAGGCTCTCCATGAGTTCACGCTTAACATTATGTTTACGTCTGTCAGATAACAATTTTGGTTTTCCACATCAGGTGCATTGCACTGTTAGATGGGTCATCATAAAGGTCATCAATCTAGTGGCATTCATTCAATTTGCACATCCTAACTGTTTCAGCACTATCTGATTTAGCATGAAAATCTGCCAGGGCAGTCCCTTGATATTCAGGTTCAGCTTTCCATGTATGGGCTTCAATCTTATAAGAATTTGTTATTTATTTTTCACCTTTACTCAAGATAGCTTGGAACTTATACCAATTTGTGATGGCAACAGGATAGTAGCAAGTTCATCCACTTGAGTCTGTTTTTAATAGGGGCTCCACTAGAAGTGAGAAACCCTCTTTGTTTCCATAACATGCCAAAATTGTGGACTGCAAAGGCATGTATATATACATAGCATGTCTGCTATGTATATAGCATTTTCTGATTTCCCTTTAGCTATATGATAAGCTCAAGTGAGAGCAAAAGTTCTGCAGTTTGAGCTGACTGAAACTGGGAAGAGTCCGCTTTTTATTAACTCATTTTGGGTTTTAATGACATATTTTGCCAAAGAATAATTTCAAATGGGGGCCGGGCGCTGTGGCTCACGCCGGGCGTGGTGGCAGGCACCTGTAGTCCCAGCTACTTGGGAGGCTGAGGCAGGAGAATGGCGTGAACCCAGGAGGCAGAGCTTGCAGTGAGCCGAGATCGCGCCACTGCACTCCAGCCTGGGCAACAGAGCGAGACTCTGTCTCAAAAAAAAAAAAAAAAAAAATTTCAAATGATGTTGGTCTACTTGCTGAAAAATGCTGGGTTTGACTGGAATTTAATAGACTTTCCACAGCACGTGGAACTTGCAAAAAAAAAAGTTCACTCCCTAAAACCAGATCAGATGAACCCTTTACCAATCTGGGGGTTGCTGCCACTGCCTTTAAACAATTGGGATATGCCTTAGCTATGGGGTCTAATTGCAGGCCATGATATGTGATGGGCCTGTGCTTTCCCAACTATGTTCTTTTTTATGTATGTATGTATGTATTTATTTTTTGAGATGGAGTTTTGCTCTTCTTGCCCAAGCTGGAGTGCAGTGGTGTAATCTCAGCTCGCTGCAATCTCCGCCTCCCAGGTTCAAGTGATTCTCCTGCATAAGCCTCCCGAGTAGCTGGGATTACAGGTGCCCGCCACCACGCCCAGCTTATTTTTTGTATTTAGTAGAGATGGGGTTTCACCGTGTTCGTCAGGGCTGGTCTCGATCTCCTGACCTCAGGTGATCCACCCGCCTCGGCCTCCCAAAGTGCTGGGTCAACTATGTTCTTGAGTAAGAACTCCTGATGCCTGATTGTTATGTTTATGAACAAACAAGGTGAAGGGTTCAGTATAAGTTGGAAATCCTAGAGCAACCATATCTGTTACTTTCCATCCTGGTTATATTTCTTAATTAGACTGCGAAGTTCTGAATGAAGTCCTTTTTAAATAGAGCAGTTAATGCCATTTCTGTCTCTGCAGGTTTCACAAGTAGTGTTTCTAAATGAGCTCTATAATCTGAAACCGGTTCATCTTTCTTTTGCCCACAAGATTATGTGATTGACCAATCAATTTTTTGTGGAAAAGCCCTAGGGATTGAATTTAAAAGATCTTCAGCAATTCTTCCAGTTCCTTTTTGCCTCCTCTTGGGGTTTTGGAGTGGTCTTTAGTATCCTCAGGCTGTTGCCATTCTGCTCCTGCTGTCAATTTTCAAGCTTCACCAGTATCATGTGAATAAATTGGTAAAGATTAGAGAGTCCTGAATCATAAGCTCTTATGAGGATTCTCAATTTTCCAGTACGTTTTTGAGTATTTTCTCTTGGATTAGTTAAGTCTTTATGATGGCTCTAAGCTCAGCTTTAGACCATGGAGTAAAAGTGGTTACAGCAGGCAGGCTGGTTGACTAGAGAGTCTCACTTTGTAAGGCATTTGTCCAACTTCCCCTTTTTCATTAGCCTCAAGGAGAAAAGGTAACTGAGCAAAAGGGTTACTGTACTCAAAGCATCGAGGCAAAGAAGAGACAGAGAAGGAGCAATCCAGGTTCATGTGCTGCATGAGCCTTTCATTTGCGTTTTGTAAAGAATCTTTTAGGCAATTTTAGATTTGTATAATCCTTTAGATGCCTCTGCATACCGATTTAAAATGCATCCCGTTGTTTTTGTGGCGTTTTCGATCCTTTCTTTTCTAATGTGTCCCATAAATAAACAGTTTTATTTAAAGTTTCCTCATCGTGGCCATTTTAATTCTAAGTTGTTCCTAGTAAGGTTAACCTGTTTTTCTAAAAACAAGTTCTGGGTCCATAATTTTGGTTTTTTTTTTTTTTTTTTTTTGAGACAGAGTCTTACTCTGTCACCACCCAGGCTGTAGCGCAATGGCACGATCTCAGCTCACTGCAACCTCCGCCTCCCAGGTTCAAGCAATTCTCCTGCCTCAGCCTCTCAGCCTCCCGAGTAGCTGCGATCGATCACAGGTGTGCACCACCGCCCAGCTAATTTTTGTATTTTTAGTAGGGAGGGGTTTCGCCACATTGGCCAGGCAGGTGAGGTGATTTGCCCGCCTCGGCCTCCCAAAGTGTTGGGATTACAGGTGTGAGCCATCACACCCGGACTTGTTTTGTTTTTTGAGATAGAGTGTTGTTTTGTCGCCCAGGCTGGAGTGCAGTGGCGTGATCTCGGCTTACTGCAACCTCTGCCTCCAGGGCACAAGAGATTTTGCCACCTCAGCCTCCTGAGTAGCTGGGACTACAGGCATACACCACCACACGCCCAACTAACTTCTGTATTTTTTGTAGAGATGGGGTTTTGCCATGTTGCCCAGGCTGGTCTCAAACTTGTGAGCTCAAGAGATCTTCCTGCCTCAGCCTCCCAAAGTGCTGGGATTACAGGCATCAGCCACCACACCCAGCCCCATAATTCTTACATATAAAATTAGATGGAGTCCCAGACTCCTTGGATTGAAACAAACCCGTTATCAAAAGGATAACCTACCCAATGCCTCTAACTGGATCCATCCAGTTTATTATGGGATGCAGTCCAATCCAGGACCCAGTCCAGTAAAAATTGCTCAGATAAACTTGGAGAGCTCAAAACACAAATTTATGGAGCTCAGAATCCTAGGAAGAACTCACTATGACCTCCAGTTGCTGTGAGGGGTCAGTGGGCACAATGGGCCCTGGCAGATACCTTTTTTGCATGGTCACTCAGTGCTCCTGGAGGTTGCTGAAGTTATACTTTGGATCCTACTTCTGACACCAGTTTGTTAAAAGAAAAATTTTATAGACAAGTTAACTTTAACAGAGCAGAAAAGGGTTCATGAACCAGGTAGTGCTCAGGACCAAAAGCGATGGTTCAGAATGTGTGCAGGCTATATTTATAAGCAAAGAAACGGAATTGGCATACAGAGATAGCCTGACTGGCTGCAGTCTGGCGTCTGCCTTCTTTGGACATGTTTTGGCAGCCTTCAGCCTATGGTTGGCTGAGATCTGACTACTTGTTACAAGAGTAGACTCTTACATCAGGTTGCAGGGTGTTTACACATTAAGTTAGGTTATAATTCACTATGTACAGAGGCAGCTTTAGGCCAAACTTAACAAAGGTCACCTTTGGAACCAGCACTAATTGTTGAGGGGGTCCCTGGGGTCCCTTTTTACCTAATGAAGATCTGTCTGAGTCTAATGAATATATTGTACAATTTTTAAAGTCCCCAGTTGTGGGAGGTGAACTTGAAGAATAAAGTTTCATTATGTTTACTTGAGCTGCTTTTATCAAGACCACTCTCAAAACCTCAGGTCCCAGCAGCACACTGAGGGCACTGAAGATCCAGAGTGTCACCGCTCTCTGATACTGGTACAGAATGTAGGTGTCCTAGAGCCTGTGGGTTGGTGGTCAGCAGCTGTGCTCCTCTGGCAGGGCTGCTGGCCTGTCCTCAAGGCACAGTGCCACAGTGCTCATCTGCTTTGGTTTCTACCACACGTAGACTGGGCAAAGTGGGTGAACAGGCCTTAAGAACCTCACCTAACTGGCTCTGTGGTGCCCTTACCCAGCTGCTCCTGAATATGACTTTGTGATTCAGGAGCCACAATCACCTGCTCTTGGGAACCAGTCCAGTTACCTGGAGCTGCTCATCTCAGAACGATCTAGCCTGGGTGATACTGTGTTCCCCCCACTGCCTAAACCCAACAGCTGCCAACCTAGCTGAGCTTGGGAACAGAGTGAAATGTTTGGGCAGCTCTCATGTTCCAACAGAGATGGCTGGAGGGGAGGCTGTGGACCTGAGGGAGTGGGTGGCAGCGAGCATGCAGAGCGTCCACTCCTCACATAGAAGGGAAGTCTTCACTACACTTACCTGTTGAACCTGTGTCTGGTCACTCACCTGGCACTGGGGGCCTTTGTTCTTAAGTAACTCAGATGAAGCAGTGGCTTCTGATTTTCCATTCTCTGACCTATTACCATCCCTCTGAAGAGAGGTCACCAGAGATAGCTTCCTGGGATGGGCTGAGGAGGGAGGATCACTTGGGCCGGGAGGTTGAGGCTGCTTCTGCAGTGGGCCATGATCATGTCACTGCACTCCAGCCTGGGATACAAGAGCAAGGCCGTCTCACAAAACCTACAAGACACACATGGCCTAGGGGTGGGGCTAGTGGTAGGGAAGGCTTCCTAAAGTTCATTCCTCACCTGCATAAAGACACATGCTAAGGGGCCACCCCAGCCAAAGGCCTGAATTTGGAATCCTGTGGAGGACATAAGATGGGGCCAAATAGGCCCTCAGGAGCTCCACTGCAGACTAAGCACTGCTGTGTGCTTCCGAGGGCCAGTCATTGCTGGAGTCTACGGCTGGCTCCAGTAAGGGGGCTTCTGGGACTCTCCCAGCCTGCCTTGATGGTATGGGACTGATGGGCAGCCTTCAGGGGTCCTTAAAGGGGAAGACAGCAAGCAGAAAGCCTAGGCTTAGTTGTTGGACAGACTTCAAACCCCACCTTGACACCTTATAGCCTGTTTCTCTACCTGTAAGATGAGGATAAAACCACGCACCATACAAGATTTCACATGAAATGATCTATGGAAAAAACCAAGCCCTCCTTTTTGAGAACGAGCGACAAGAGACAGCTGATAGGCGATCCTGAGAAACCCTGGGAATAAGGTTTTTGTATGACTAATAGTTGGGGATCAAGTATCAGGACATAAGGAAATGCCCAGGGCCCACTCCATACCCTGCTTGTGATCCTGCTGCATTGTGGACATCACCTCATGCCACCGAATCAGGCAAGCCTGGCCCCAAAGGATGGCCATGCCATGTGTAGCCCACTGCTTGGCACACAACAGAGTGGGATTCAGCAGTCCACCAGTCCCAGAAGCCAGGTTGGGGGCCTCGGATTCACTTCAGACCGAGGCCAACATAAGCAATCCAAAGAAAAGCAGAGAAGGCAGGTCACTCAGAGGGCAGGCCAGGAGTTGAGCTCCTTACCCTCTGCCAGTCAAGCCACAGCTGGCCTCAGGCTAGGGCCCCACCAGCCCCCAGCCTAGTGGGGGGACTAGCGTGGGCAAGGCAGGCCCCTTCCAAACAGCCCAGGGTTGCCGGCAAGCTTCTGTAGAGTTGAGAGGAACTGCTGTGCGGGAAATGGGCAGAGAGCCATCGGGATGAGGCCAGAGGCCGTGCCTAGAAGAGCAAGTGAACGTAGCACTTGCTGACAGGCGGGATGGCCTCTCAGCCCCGGTAGAGGTGGTTTTCACCGGGGCAGCCCCAGGGTTTGGCTGAGAGCAGAAAAATACAAAATCATCAGAGAAGTAAAATATATTTGCTTTATTATGTACACACTATATTTACATCACCCACCCTGAAAACAGCAGGTTCTGGCTTTTCCGTGAACCCCCAGATGAATATAAATTGGAGCCTCTGAGAACAGTTCCTTCCCCAGAGCGGGGAGTGTGCACGTGTGTGTGTAACCTTCTGATTCCATGGGACCTGGCCAGCTCCTCTGGAGCCACACAGCACCTCCTTGCCTTACACCCTGGCTCCAGCTTCACTGGTCCGGGGGACGCCTCAGCCTGGGGCAGCTGTGATGTAAACCAGTCACTCCACCTCCATCTTCCTCTTCTGCAAAGAATCGAGGAAGTCTTGCCACTCTGCTGGGTAAAAGCGTTTATAGACGTTGATCTTACTCCGAATCTGTTTTGGGGTATCTTGATAGTAATTCTTCTCATCACGGGCCATGGCCTAAGAGGAGAAGGGCTACTTTAAGGAGGGCTAGACAGGCAAAGGCTCAAATCTGAACTCATCCTGAATTAGGCAAGCCACTTGCTATCTATCCCTGAGGTCCAGAATCCTGACCTCAAAGGCTGTGGTGCACCGGGCACAGTGGCTCATGCCTGTAATCCCAACACTCTGGGAGGCCGAGGTGGGAGGATCTCTTGAGCCCAGGAGTTCCAGGCCACCCTGGGCAACCCAGTGAGACCCTGTCTCTCCAAAAACAATAAATTAACCATCCTGTGGTCCCAGCTACTTGGGAGGCCGAGGCAGGAGGACTGTTTCAGCCCGGGAGGATGAGGCTGCGGTGAGCCATGATCACACCACTGAACTCCACCCTGGGTGACAGAGCGAGATTCTGTCTCAAAAAAAAGACCAGGAAGGCCTGAGAGTCCAGCGGGCCAGGGAGGAGCTGGGGCCAGCTGAGGAGCTCATGACCCATCATAGCCAGCTAATCCTACTTGGGCCCAGGGGTCCAGTGTAGCCGGATCTTTCAACTGTTAAAGGAAGCCAAAAATAGACTTCCATCCTGGGTGACTGAGCAAGACTCTGTCTTGAAAACAAAAACAAACCAAAAAACACCATGCGAGCAAAACATTTATCTGTGAGTGAGACTGGAACCAAGGTCACTCAGTCTATCCTTGCCATAAGCATTCATTCAAGTTAGATCCCTGTCAATGGGATCCATTTCCTAGAGTCTCTTTTGCCTCCCTTTCTTTGCACTCGGTTTCAGGAAACAGGTGCTGCGCAAGCAGATCAAGCCGCGAATGGTCCAGGGCGCCTTCCCAGCCAGCCCACGGGGCCTGAGCCGCTCACCTTATAGTCCTCCCCGTGGTTCTCTACCATGTAGCGTACATAGTCAATGAGGTCCCGAGACAGAGTATTTCCTTTCTTTTCTGGAAGGCTGGCTTCTGCCTCCAGGTCTGGAGTGATGAGAGAAGCGGGGAGACAGGGAATGAGGCTTTGCTTTCTGTGCTCTTTGAGCTGTCCAATCACCCCTTCACCCACTCCCAAGCCACAAGACCCACCACACCAACCACCTGGGGGTCTTTGCCTCCCCATTCCCAAATCCATTGTTGGAACCTCCTTCAGCCCCTTGGATCCCAGACTCTGTCTCCTATGACCCACTCATCTACCAGTATGGCAACTTTTGGAAAGGGAAGTCACTTCTCTCCGGGCCTCAGGTGGATTTACAAGGAAGGTACCAGACTAATAACCTCTACTTAGTGGCAGGTCTCAGGACAGAGATGAAGGCACATACCTGCCCACAGGACAGGGCTCCCTTCCAGCTATAAGCCTCTCAGAGAAGCTCTTGATGTATTATTGCAACACATGAAATGGGACGGTCTAAATACATGAGATCTAGAGCTGCCGGGTCTGGGGCCTGAGGCTGGGCCCCAGCACCTTACTAGTGCTCCATGGGAGAGAAAAAGCCAGGATGTGGAGCCAACTAATGGCTTCACTTTTAAAATAGACAGGCAAATCCTACTCCATTTCTCATCTAGAAAGAGAGAGAAAGAGCTACCTCAGAGAAATGAAGTAGTCGAATCATATCCAGAGGTTAGGTCCTCATATTGTATATAGTCAAAATTATCTTTGACACGGTTGCCAGGGGCTGGAGGTAGAGGAAGATGGGGAGTTGTTTAATGGGTATAGTTTCAGTTTTGCAAAATGAAAAGGTTTTAGGGACCTGTTGCACAACAAAGTCAATATCCTTTACTGAACAGTGCACTTAAAAATGGTTAGGATGGTAACTTTTATGTGTTTTTTAACCACATTTTAAAATTTTTAAAAATGTTCCTCTTTGACTACAGTAAGTGCCTATGGCTTGGTATATACAATCCTGTGCAGTAATTCTTATGAGAACCACTGAGATAAAAGACAGGAACTCAAGGAATTCTGTATCAAATGTCTGGCCATTCAAATCCTTTATCTTTAGGGGAGCTGCTTAAACTCCCTGACAGGTAAGGGGAAGGATGAATGAAGAATTCTAGAGTATTCCCACTTTCCTGTAGGGTTTACTCTCCTCCGTTTTAGCGTTCACTCTCTATAGCCTTAATATACATAAAATCGATTTTGTCATTGGAACATTTATTGAGATGGTGGAATCCCTAAAAATCAGTTCATCCTTAAATTCATGAGAAGCCATACCCATGCCAGAGATTTACTGGTTTCTCTTCTATTCTCCCAGGCACCTGGGTACATCCTCCCTAAACATCTCTGACCTTAGTTCACACAGTAAGGTCAGGGTTTAGTCAGTACAATGAAAAATGAGCCAGCCAGGACACAGTCCTAACTCTGTGAACTTTGAACCAGCTCACTTCTCCCCTCTGAAACTTGGTTTCTCCATCTGCAAAATGAGGACATCTTAGGGCCCTTCCCAGCTTCCCACAGTGCAGGACAGTGACCTAAAGGAATATATGGACCACACCCACCATTCAGCACATAGGGCTTCCGTACAAGCTCTTTAGGCCTCTCCTCTATGTCCACCTCCATGGCCTTCACCTGCAGAGAACAGAGCCCTTGAGACCAGAAGGATCTTTGATGAGGGAAAGTTATAGACTCCTGCTTATCCCAACACAACTACTAACCCATAAGAATCCCTGCCCACGGTTAGGTAGAAGTAGGTAACAATGAGAACTAATGCCCTGGAGGCTTTTTCTCTCTCTCTCTCTTTTTTTTTTTCTTTTTCTTTTTGAGACAGAGTCTCATTCTGTTGCCCAGGTTCAAATGCAGTGGCACAATCTTGGTTGACTGCAACCTCCCCCCGGGTTCAAGTGATCTCCTGCCTCAGCCTCTCAAGTAGCTGGGATTACAATCATGCGCCACCATGCCCAGCTAAATTTTGTGTTTTTAGTAGAGATGGGGTTTTGCCATGTTGGCCAGGCCGGTCTCAAACTCCTGGCCTCAAGTAATCCGTCTGTGCCTTTTACCCCCAACACAATCTTGGTGACAAGGACTTTGTGTTTTGTTCTCTATTAAATCCCCAGGGTGCTTAGGATGTGACATGTTCTCAATAAGTAGTTAACCTAATGAATGGGCTTCGCGAATGAATTTGTTCCATTGCCTTAGGCAAGTTTCTTTTTATTCTTTCATGCCAGAGGAAAATGGCACTACCATTTCTTGAATAAATGTGAGGCTACAGCCACACAGTTAGATAGTCCCTAAGGCAAGGAGTGTTATACCCATTTTATAGATAGGCAGGCAGAGAAAGATGAATTGCTTGCTTTTCTTTTGGGAACCTGGATTCTTTTAATAGTTGTTGAAGCCTCCAGGGGGCCAGGCGGATCACTTGAGGCCCAGCCTGGCCAACATAGCGAAACCCTGCCTCTACTAAAACCACAAAAATCAGCCGGGTATGGTGGCACACGCTTATAATCCCAGCTATTTGGGACGCTGAGGTGGGATATAGCTTGAACCCGGGAAGGAGACTGCAGTCAGGGAAGCCTAGGGAAGCCTCAGACCAAGGATGATTGAATAACAAAGAAAAGGTGTAAGTAAAGATCTCCAACTCTTAGGGAGTACTAATTAGGAAAGTTAAGGGTAGAAAAAGATAAATTAAGGAAAATACCGTTGAGATGCTAATGGGTTAATTTCAGAGAAAAAAGACTGAGTAGAGGGGGTATGGGGAATGTGTGCTGGGGAGGGAGTGTGACGAAGGTCGTAAAGAGACCCTTGCTCAACGTCAGTTGAGCGTTCTGACTGTGGGGAGGTCGAAAACTCGGAAGGGCCTGAGGGAAGGAATGGGCAGTACCACGTTCTGACACCTAGGTCAGTATGGCGGGGGAAGAGTAAAGAAGACAAGGACCGAGACCCTGCCATGTCAGTACCTTTCTCTTACGGAGGGGCACCGCCCTGTTGGGGTCCACAGCCAACCCCATCTCGGCCAGGTTCTGCCGTACCGATTTAGCGTGGTCCCAGGCATGTCGGATGTGGGAGCTACCGGCAAAGAGAGACATCGCGGATCCGTCATCTCGCGGACCGTCCCGGCCGAGGCCCACGGCCACCCGGAACCCCAGCCCCCTCACCATTCGATCCGCGGCGCTGCCTTCCGTCGAGCATTCCGGTTCAGACGCTTTCGGTTGACACTGTAACCAAACTTCTGCCTCCGGGTTTTGCCCTTGGCCTTGGGCATCGCGCTGACCACCGCACCAGCAGCTCAAACACGCTGCCTCTGTCTCTCAGACCTCGTGTAACAAACTCCTTCCGGAAGGCGTGCACAAGGCTTTGCGGGCATTTGGGGAAATGTAGTCCTTTTGTAGCACTACCGTGCTGAGCACTACGACTCCCAGGATGCAACGAGCATTTGCGCCTGCGTACAAGGCTCAATTTATTCGTTTCCCCGCCCCTTTCATGACCTTCACCGGGAGGCTGAGGTCGGAGTCCCGATTTTCTCCTGCTGCTGTGGCCCGGACATGGCGACTCCCGGCCCTGTGATTCCGGAGGTCCCCTTTGAACCATCGAAGCCTCCAGTCATTGAGGGGCTGAGCCCCACTGTTTACAGGAATCCAGAGAGTTTCAAGGAAAAGTTCGTTCGCAAGACCCGCGAGAACCCGGTGGTACCCATAGGTAAGTGGGTGCGGTAGGAACTGCACAAGGAGAGGACAGTGATGTCGGAGGGAAGGAAGTAGAGAAGGACCAGAGCGCTAGCGGGGAGCGGAAGGAGAGCGGACTAGAGAAGAGACGAGGGGGCGGGGCGGTGAGGGGCGAAACTGATTGGAGCGGGAGCAGCGGGTTTAGGGGGCGGGATTTGGGGCCTAAGATTGGGAGGACTCTGTAACTAGGAAGACCTCGACTCGACCTACCCTCGCCGCCCTCCCTCCGCTGTGATCCAGAGATCTTGGCTTTGGGGAAGCGAGACCCAAAGCGGGGAATGACCTGCGGGGCCCGACCTGCTGTTTCCCAGTTGCTTTGTCCCCTCCTCAGGTTGCCTGGCCACGGCGGCCGCCCTCACCTACGGCCTCTACTCCTTCCACCGGGGCAACAGCCAGCGCTCTCAGCTCATGATGCGCACCCGGATCGCCGCCCAGGGTTTCACGGTCGCAGCCATCTTGCTGGGTCTGGCTGTCACTGCTATGAAGTCTCGACCCTAAGCCCAGGGTCTGGCCTTGAAAGCTCCGCAGAAATGATTCCAAAACCCAGGGAGCAACCACTGGCCCTACCGTGGGACTTACTCCCTCCTCTCCTTTGAGAGGCCCATGTGTCGCTGGGGAGGAAGTGACCCTTTGTGTAACTGTAACCGAAAGTTTTTTCAAAAATCCTAGATGCTGTTGTTTGAATGTTACATACTTCTATTTGTGCCACATCTCCCCTCCACTCCCCTGCTTAATAAACTCTAAAAATCCACTTGTATTTAATTCAGTATCATCCCCATGGTTTTTGGTCTTTGATTTTGGAGGAAACGGACTTTGGAGTGGTGCTTAGAAATCGTGTAGTCTAGTGATTCCCGAACTTTCCTAGTAACAGCCACCCAGGGCACTTTGAAAGCAGAGATTTGGCCAGGCGCAGTGGCTCACACCTGTAATCCCAGCACTCTGGGAGGCCGAAGCGAGCGGATCACCTGAGGTCAAGAGTTCAAGACCAGCCTGACCAACATGGAGAAACCCCATCTCTACTAAAAATACAAAATTAGCTGGGCGTGGTGTTGCGTGCCTGTAATCCCAGCTACTCGCGAGGCTGAGGCAGGAGAATCACTTGAACCCGGGAGGCGGAGGTTGTGGTGAGCTGAGATCGCGCCATTGCACTTCAGCCTGGGCAACAAGAGCAAAACTCCATCTCAAAAAAAAAAAAAAAAAAAAAGAATCTCAAGGTCACTCCTTGAGATTCTAGTTCAGTGGGCCTAGAGTAATGCCATTTGAAAAATACTGGTCTAGCCAGCAGTTTTTCAGACTTTCAGTAGGACAACCTTCCTTCAGATGAGGCCTCCCATAGTCGGGTCAGAGGCAGAGGGTTCTGCCCTCCACTCCGCATAACCTCCTCACCCTGCTCCCACCTCCCTAGAGTCTATGGGGCTCCACTGATCTAGACCATCTAGTTCTTTTTTTGAGACGAGTCTCACTGTGTCAGCCAGGCTGGAGTGCAGTGGCAGAATCTCGGCTCACTGCAACCTCCGCCTCCCGGGCTCAAGCAATTTTCCTGCCTCAGCCTCCCGAGTAGCTGGGATTACAGGTGTGTGCCACCACGCCCGGCTAATTTTTGTATTTCGTATTTTTAGTAGAATACTAAAACAACATGGTTTCACCATGTTGGCCAGGCTGGTCTTGAACTCCTGACCTCAGGTAATCCCCCAACCTCGGCCTCCCAAAGTGCTGGGATTACAGACGTGAGCCACCACGCCCAGCCTAGACCATCTGGTTCTTGACACAGTATAGAAGAGGAAACAGGCTCAGAGAAGCAGTCTGGTACAGTGGGAAGAACACAGTCCCGAAGCTCTCCAGAGATTTGTGTACATAGTGTTTGAGGGTTCTGGAAGAGGAGGCTGAGGACCTGAGCACACTCTAGAAGAGAGGTGACCTGTTAGTTCCTCCTTCATGTAGTTTCAAACAAGTATTCCTGGTCTGTGGTCAGCGCTCCTCAAATGTTGGATTTGAGGACCTGCGCTCTTCCCGAGTGATTGTACTGTTTTCAACACCAGCTTCAAGCTGGCAGAAGGAAAAAGGGAGTGAAGACACACCCCTTCTTGAACCCCCCAACAGTCTAGATCTCAGTGGAGGGCTGTACTAGGGCCAGCTAAGTTGCTTGCCTCCACCATGTTCTCTCAGCTTTGAGGCAGAGATGATAGATGTAGAGCAGTGCACTGTGGTGACCCTTGGCATCCAGATACAAGACAAGGACATGGAGTGATGACCACTGTTTGTAAGTGTTGGTGTCATGGTGTCCCCCTCCAAAAATGTTGAAGTCCTTCTAGTGCCTTAGAATTTGACCTTAGGCTGGGTGCTATGGTTCATCCCTGTAATCCCAGCACTTTGGGAGGCCAAAGTGGATAAATTGCTTGAGCCCAGGAGTTTGCCCAGCCTGGGTGACATGGCAAAGCCCCGTCTCTACTAAAAATACAAAGATTAGCC
Organism: Homo sapiens; assembly: GCF_000001405.40. Classification (NCBI taxonomy): domain Eukaryota; kingdom Metazoa; phylum Chordata; class Mammalia; order Primates; family Hominidae; genus Homo; species Homo sapiens. Next base: position 176,391,469 of record NC_000005.10, read on the forward strand.
AAATGTGGTGGCACGTGCCTGTAGTCCCAGCTACCTGAGAGGCTGAGGTGGAAGGATTGCCTGACCCAAGGAAGTTGAGGCTGCAGTGAGCTGAGATTGCACCACTGCACTCCAGCCTCAGTGATAAAGCGAGACCCTGTTTGAGAAAAAAAACAGAAAACGAAGATTTGGCCACAAAGACAGACATACCTAGAAGGCAATGTGCAAACAGCCACCTGATGGGGGCAGGATTGGGGTGATGCGTCTGCCAGCTAAGGGATGCCTGAGGCTACCAGAAGCCAGAAGCAGGTGGAACAGACCCTTCCCCAGCTCCTTCAGAGGGAGCATGGCTCTGCCACAGCTTGATTTCAGATTTCTGGCCTCAAGAACTATGAGACAATAAATTTCTGTTCTAAGCCAGCTAGTTCATGTACCTTCTTACAGAAGCCCTAGGAAGCTAATATTTACTGGCAATTACTCAAATCTTTTTAAACATCATGCAGGTCATGAACGTCCTGTTTGCAAACTCTGCTGAAGGGGAAGAAGGTGTGATCACTGGTTGTTTATCCAAAATCCAAGATGAGCCCAGTTGAAGGAGGAAGCGAAATACACAGGGCAGTGGACCCTCCACATCCAGAAGGTCCCAGCCAACCCTAAGGAGGGGAGTCTCATGGGTCTTCAGGGCTCTTACCCAGGCTTAGGAGGAAGCTACCACCAGGAACCTCTGGTCTCGCTTTTCCCTCCCACTACAAGCCACTTCCCCTCTGGGAACCTTGGTGTCCTTGGTTATATGGTGAGAATAACAGAATTTACCTCACAGACTTGTTAAAGGATCGAGGTTACAAAAGCATTCTGCGAGAGGCTGTCTTTCCTCCTGGAGGTGGAGGCAACAGACATGGAGAGCTTGGGGCTCCCACTTGGCTGGGAAATGGGGGAACATTCTCCCTTCTCTCAAGGTCATGAAGCTGGGAAAGTTCTAAGCACAAACCGAGCCCTGACACCAGTTGTGGCTTCCAGAGAAGTGAGAATGATAATAAATAAGTGTAAAAAGAGTCAACAACACACCCTTTAAGCCAAGAAAAAAAATACATCAGGAGGGACAGTCACAATTGAGTAGACTGAGAGGAGGCGTGAGGGGCTGGACCAGAGGGCCAGGAGGGAGCGAGGCGTGATGGGGTGAGGGCCCCCCTCCCAGCGCCTGGAGATGGGGAGGAGTGGAATAGGCTGTGGGTAGCAGCTGCTGCGAGTCTCCACCCCGACCAAAGCAGCTGCTCCTCCTGTGCCCAGGCCCAGCCCATGCTCTGTGGCCATGCACCTAGCAGGCACCTAGCGGGACAGTGGCGTCTGCTTCAGGGACATGAGCACCGAGCGCAGGCGGGACACATCTTTGCACTGCTTGCTGCTCTTGGGGTTGAAGTCACATAGCTGGGCCACCTTCTCCCACTCTGTGCCTGGGGTCTCCTCCTTGGATTCCTTCACGAAAGCCTCCTCGGATGCCCTGCGGGTGGAGATAGGACGGGCTTTTATAGCAGTCTGCTTTCCCCCAGCCTTGCCCTTGAGCAAGGCTGCTTTGCCCAGCCTACTCTGGGGCACTGTGTCCTCCCCAGCCTTGTGCCCCCCTGACTTCAGAGGAGGGCAGCCTTGGCGCAGGAGGAAGCCTAGCTTGGTCCTGCCTCAGGACCTTGGCACTTGCTATCACCTCTTCCTGGAACACGCTTCTCCCAGACCTGTTCCTGGCTTGCTGCTTCTTGTCATTCAGGTCTCAGTGCGGGCCTCACCTCCTCAGAAAGTCTTCCCAGCCTAGGCACCCTCTGTTCATTACTTCCCCATCGGGAGTTCCCAACCTGAGGTTCCTGACACCTAAAGACCCTTGGAGGTCCTAGGACGACCTAATGCAGGACCTTAGCTATTTCACCATTTCCAAAAACTTGGCAGAAGTAGGACACTGACTAACCATCTAACAGAAGCACCTAGTTCAGCATTGCCTGAATGTTCTGTGTGAGGATTCTCCAGAAAGACTGTGGTCAAATACCTATGGAAAACCCAGCTAAAGAGGATCTTTACAGCAAGACTTTCAAAGCCTTTCATGTGCTGTGTGCGTCGTGACCCTCCAAGGTGTGTATGTGATGGAATCCACCACATCCCAAGCGTCTTTCACCACAGAGCCCTTTGTAGCCCAGAACCACCACTGTCTCTGAGGAGCCACAGCCTGGGGCATGAATGCTCCACTGGAGTCTGCTTTTGGTTGGAATCAAGTTAGGATGAAAACTGGCGGTCCTTCATCAGAAGTTCTGGTTGACAGTCACAGAAGCCACTGACTAAGGGACAGTGGGGAAACAAGTAAATACAGTCTAGTGGACAAAATCTACACGTGGGACTCACTAACAGAAAGACAATAAGGGATTCTTAGGTGAGGAGAGCTGGGTCTATGTCCTGTTTGGCCAGCGAGGGTCGCTCACAAGTCCCTGGAAGCCCCCTCTCCATCTCAAGCAGGACCAGTTCTGCCGATGCCAGACATGACTGATGGCAGGAGCGCTCCATGGAAGAGCTGACCCCGGATCAGGTGACCTGGCCCCTCTCTAGGGATGCTGGCTGTATGCTCATTTCCTAGCCTGTAAAATGAGGATCATAGCTCTGCCCTACCAACTATTTCACTGGACTGAGAATTCAATGAGGTAGCAAGCAGGTCTGGAAAAAAGGAAAGTGCTGCGTGGAGCTGGGTGGCAAGTGGGGATGAGGGGAGCTATCCTCGGAGCTGTCCCTTCAGGGTCCAGAGGCTCCCCTCTGTCCTTGCAGCTCAAAGCGTCCATGGTCCAATGGCATCAGCATGACGACAGAGCCTGTCAGAAATGCAGACCCTTGGGCCTCCCCACCGTCCTGCTGAATCAGAATCAGGGTTTTCACGAGACCCCCTGGTAATTCATAGGCATGTGAAAGTTTGAGCCTGGGCGCAGTGGCTCACTCCTGTAATCCCAGCACTTTGGGAGGCAGAGGCGGGTGGATCACTTGAGGTCAGGAGTTCGAGACCTGCCTGGCCAACATGGTGAAACCCCATCTCTACTAAAAATACAAAAAATTAGCTGGGTGTGGCCAGGCGCGGTGGCTCATGCCTGTAATCCCAGCACTTTGGGAGGCCAAGGTGGGCGGATCACGAGGTCAGATGGAGAGCATCCTGGCTAACACGGTGAAACCCCGTCTCTACTAAAAAATACACAAAATTAGCCGGGCATGGTGGCGGGCACCTGTAGTCCCAGCTACTCAGGAGGCCGAGGCAGAAGAATTGCTTGAGCCCAGGAGGCGGAGGTTGCAGTGAGCTGAGATCATGCCACTGCACTCCAGCCTGGGTGACAGAGCAAGACTCCGTCTTAAAAAAAAAAAAAAGTTTGAGAAGCCCTGGTCTATACTCTCTCTTCAGGGCTCTCCTGGGTGCTCTCTGGGCCATTTCCTCAGGCTCAACAGAAGCATCGAGCCCCCTGTGGTATTCCACAGCACCCATGCCCATCTGACATCCCCATCCCTTGCTGGAAGCCTCCTGTGGCTCCCCACTGCCTTCTGGATCAAGTCTGAGCTCAGCCTTGGCACAACAGGCGCTTTGCAACCAGCCCCAAGCCAACCACCTCCCAGCCTCAGCTCCCACCCATCCCCACCATCCCCACCATCCCCACCATCCCAGCCTGTAGAGCTTCAGCCACTGCAGCCAGCTGGGCCTTTTCTCTCTGGATGCCTTGGCCCCAGCTGCTCCTCCCACCTTCTCTTCCCACCCTCCCTATCCAGCAAACTCCTTCTCACACTTTAAGGTCAGCTGAAGGTCTTGCATCTCTGAAGCCTGCCCAGGCTCCCCAGGCAGAGAGTGGCTTCCAGAGCTCACTGTGTCCTTCCACAAGGCCCTTATCATAACACACTCCAGACCATGAGCACGGTGAGGGGGGCGGCCTGTGGGTGTCTTACCAATCTGGCACAAGGCGAGTGCCAAAGAGTACTAAATGAGGGAGAGTGGAAGGAAGCAGACGAAGGCTCTGGTGTGCTCTGTGCCCTGTGAGAGGAGGCTTAGCCTCGACACATGACGGGCTGCCAGGGCACACCTAGAGTGAAGAACAGCAAGTACCTTCTCTTCAGCTCCACAATCCCCACCACCACCCTCCAGGATGTCTCTACCAACTAACTGACGTCGGCACGAGATATAACCTGTTTGCCAACCCTGGTCTTGATTACTCATCACACCAAGTAGACCCCAAACCTGAAACATGTGAGGGGGCCTGTGGTGGTCTGGGCAGGGGCTGATGGCCAAAGTCAGTGCACTGGGGCAGGAGGAAGAGATGGATGTCACAAAGGAGCAGCTCTTGTCCTTTACATGCCTCCAGCATCCCATGCTCAGTGTCTGTTTTGTTGAATAAAAGACCCCTTCAGCTGGGTGTGGTGGCTCATGCCTGTAATCCCAGCACTTTGGGAGGCCGAGGTGGGTGGATCACCTGAGGTCAGGAGTTCGAGACCAGCCTGGCCGACATGGTGAAACCCCGTCTCTACTAAAAATACAAAAGTTAGCCGGGCACGGTTGCATGTGCCTATAATCTCAGCTACTCGGGAGGCTGAGGCAGGAGAATCGCTTGAACCCAGGAGGTGGAGGTCGCAGTGAGCCGAGATCGCAGCACTGCACTCCATCCTGAGCAGCAAGAGCGAAACTCCATCTCAAAAAACAAAAAACCCTTCACCCCACACACCCACCAAGAGACATCACAGAGGGAGGGAGTTGGGGTGCTCTGCCATTTGCCCCTCCCACATGGGAATAAGTGGCAAGCACATTCCTTTCTCTGCCTTTATCCTGCAAGGCTCTGATTTAGCCAAGCAGCCTCCACTTCACTGGAGGGAGGGAGGTGGTTGCTGCCTGCACCCACCAGGGCATTTGCCTCCTGTTCTGACCATTGCTCCGAGCCCAGCCACACTCATTTATATCCCACAAGCAGGAAACTCAAGAAACTGTGGTGGCCATTCCCTCTCTAGCTCCCCCAACAGAGAAGCAAAACAGACACGTACACGTAGCCGATGATATCAGCATCTGGCTGCTGGTAGAATGCTTTGTCAGCGATCCTTGAGGGAAAGGTTGAGGGAAGGGGTTAGGTGGGGGAAGGCAGATGGCAAGACAGACAGGCAGGCAGAAGGTTAGAGAGAGAGAGAGAGACAGCATTAGTACCTCCAGTGGGAGAAATGTTAGGAAGCATAGTTCTGGAAGGCTCAGCAACGACCCACAGCCCCAAACAGGAGAATGGGGACCTTCACCCTGGCCCCAGCACCTTCTCTAAAATTCATCCCTGATCATGTTACTCCTGTTCAAACACCTTCAGTGGCTCCCCACTGCCCATGTCACTGCCCAACTCATCAGCCAAGGCCCTTACAGTGTGAGTCCACAGGTTCCTGCCTTCTCTCCCACCGCTCCCTGGCCCCCTGTTGCCTAATACATCACATTTTTTTCTTCGTACCCAGGTCTAGAATGCCCCCCTACCTCCTGCCCTTTTTTCCCTTTTTTCCTCCTAGTCATCTTCCAAAGCCCAAGTCCCAAGACACAGAGGTCTCTCCCTGACCTGTTTCCTTGCTTCCATGGCCTTCGTGCAGAGGGCCCTACTGTATTTGAGCTTAGTTGAACATGTGTGTTTTTCTCCTCTGCGCCCTTTGAGGACATAAGGCTGGGTCCTCCTTATCTCCATCTCCTCCGTGCCTACCCCAGAGCCTGGCATGCAGCAGTTCCCTAGACAGAAGGGTAGCTTCCCAGAACAGGCCTTTCCCTTCCTGGAAGACCTTGTACCGTGAAGGACAGAGCCTCAAAGGCAGGGAGCACTGGGCAGTGTTCAGTCATGTCCCCACAGCCCCTCTCATGTCCCCATAGCCCCTCTCATGTCCCCACAGCCCCTCTCATGTCCCCACAGCTCCCTCTCATGTCCCCACAGCTCCCTCTCATGTCCCCACAGCCCCTCTCATGTCCCCACAGCTCCCTCATGTCCCCACAGCCCGTCTCATGTCCCCACGGCCCCCTCATGTCCCCACAGCTCCCTCATGTCCCCACCCCTTCATGTCCCCATGGCCCCCTCATGTCCCCACGGCCCCCTCATGTCCCCACAGCCCCCCTCATGTCCCCATGGCCCCCTCATGTCCCTACAGCCCTCTCACCGGTTGTTGATCTTGTTCTTCTCTACTTGTTCACTCTGGCGCTGGTTCCACTCCTCCAGGTCCTTCTTGGCCTTCTCCCGCCATTCCTGTTCCGTGACCTTAGATGCAGCATCTAGGACCCCACAAGAGAATGAGTGGCTGCTTTCCAGCTGGGATGCACAGGCCCGGCCGCGCTCCTCCCCTGGCCCCTGCCAGGCAGCCACAGGGCCGCACCGGCCCAGTCCCACATTAAGGCATGCAGCATCCCATGCACTCCGAGGACTCCCCACACTCCACCCCACACACAGCCCACCCAGCCAACCCCGCCTCAGCCCCGCCCTCACCCAGCTCTTGCAGCCGTTTCCTCTGCTCCTCTCGCCACTTGCGGATGCTCTCAGGCTCCTGGGTCAGCCTGTCAGCCTGGGCAATGGCTGCGTAGCCATCAGCAGGACCGTTGGCCTCCTAGAACACAAACACGCAGCAGTCTATCCAGCCAGCACACCTGCCCCGCTGTCTCTGCTGCCCCTGCTGGGGACCCACTCATGTCTGGATAACTCAGCCTCAAACAACCTCATACCCACTGTCTCTGGTGACTACACCTATCTTTGCACTTGCTGTTCCCTCTGCCAGCAACACTCCGCCACCTGTGTGACTGCGGGCAAGTTACTCACCCTCTCTGTGCCTGATCATTGCCTCTGGCCCAGTTATAGGTTTTGATACCCCCAAAGCAGAAGACTCAAGAAAGCGTGTGCCAGCCACTTTCTTTGTCATAAAATGGGCTAAATAACAGTATGCACTCTGATGGGAGGACATAAGGATGAAATGAGTTAAAAATTATAAAGAATGTCGGGCGCAGTGGCTCACACCTGTAATCCCAACACTTTGGGAGGCCGAGGCGGCAAATCACCTGAGGTTGGGAGTTCAAGACCAGCCTGACCAACATGGAGAAATCCCGACTCTACTAAAAATACAAAAAATTAGCCAGGCGTGGTGGTGCATGCCTGTAATCCCAGCTACTCCGGAGGCTGAGGCAGGAGAATCACTTGAACCCGGGAGGCAGAGGTTGCAGTGAGCCGAGATCACACCATTGCACTCCAGCCTGGGCAACAAGAGCAAAACCCCGTCTCAAAAAATAAACAAATAAAAATAAAAAATAAAAATACTGCTTGGCACAGTGAGTCCCTTGTGTTACCGTCATTAAAATCACTCTCTATTGTGGTTGTATTAACTCCTAACACTTAGTCCAAAAAGACCTCAAGACCTCACTTTTTTTTTGAGATGGAGTGTCCCTCTGTTTCCCAGGCTGGAGTGCAATGGTGCAATGTTGGTTCACTGCAACCTCTGCCTCCCAGGTTCAAGCGATTTTCCTACCTCAGCCTCCTGAGTAGCTGGGATTACAGGCACACGTCACGACACCCGGCTAATTTTTTGTAGTTTTAGTAGAGACGGGGTTTCTCCATGTTGGTCAGGCTGATCTCGAACTCCCGACCTCAGGTGATCCACCGGCCTCGGCCTCCCCAAGTGCTGGGATTACAGGCTTGAGCCACCGTGACCAGCCCAAAAGGACCTTACTTTATAATGTGTTTGTCTGTCTCTGCCATCAGAATGTCATCTCTGTCCTTTTCACTGCTATGTCCCCAGAGCCCAGCACAGTGCCTGGCCCAGCAGATGCTCAGTAGATGTTTGTTGAGTAGAGAAGCATCCCTGAGATATGCAGCATGATCATAGCTCAGATCACACCATGGGAAAGAACTTGGACTCTGCAGCCAGGCTGTCTCGGTTCAGATGCCACCTCTGATACTATGAAATGTTTGTAAGGCCTGGGAGAAATTGCTTAACCTTGCCTGACTTTTGTTTTCTCATTTGAAAAATGGGGCTGGGCATGGTAGCTCATGCCTATAATCCCAGCACTTCGGGAGGCCAAGGCAGGAGGATCACTTGAGGCCAGGAGTTTAAGACCAGCCTGGGCAACACAGCAAGAGTCTGTCACTATTTTCAAAAAAGTTTTTTTAATTATGGAAAAAAAGGCCAGGCACGGTGGCTCACGCCTGTAATTCCAGCACTTTGGGAGGCCGAAGCGGGCAGATCACTTGAGGCCAGGAGTTTGAGACCAGCCTGGCCAACATGGCGAAACCCCGTCTCTACTAAAAATACAAAAAATTAGCCAGGTGTAATGGCTGCTTAGGAGTCTGGGACTTGGGAGAATCGCTTGAGCCTGGGAGGCGAAGATTGCAGTGAGCAGAGATCGTGCCACTGCACTCCAGCCTGGGCCACAGAGTGAGACTTGGTCTCAAAAAAAAAAAAAAGAAAGAAAAATGGGAATAGACCGGGCACAGTGACTCACACCTGTAATCCCAGCACTTTGGGAGGCCAAGGTGGGTGCATCACATGAGGTCAGGAGTTCGAGACCAGCCTGACCAACATGGTGAAACCCCATCTCTACTAAAAACACAAAATTAGCTGGGTGTGGTGGCCCGCACCTGTAATCCCACCTACTCGGGAGGCTGAGGCACAAGAATCACTTGAATCCGGGGCGGGGCAGGGGAGGCTGCAGTGAGCCAAGATCACACCATTGCACTCCAGCCTGGGCAATAAAAGTGAGACTCTATCTCAAAAAAAAAAAGAAAGAAAGAAAGAAAGAAAAAAAGGAATAATATTAAGAACACCTCTAAGAGCTGTTATGATTTAATACTATAATATTTGTGAGATATTTAGAAGAGTGCTTGGTGTGGAGTGATGGCTCAGTGAATAGTAGCTAGAATTACTACTATTATTATTCATTCCCATTTTACAAGGGAGGAAACTGAGGCCCAGAGACATGGCACAACGTAGTGGCAGAGCCAGGACTAGAGTCCAGGTCCCTGACTCCCAGGCAGGGGCTCTGCTCACGTCTCCCCACCCCTTGCCAGAGCTGGGGACCCAAAGCGCTGAGCACCGTGAGCTCTGCTCACAAGGGTGTGGCACCCTCTGGTCTGGCAAAGCCTTTCCAATCCAGGTCCAGCCACACCCGCTCTGGCACCCACGCCCTCCGCATTCCTGTCTGCAGGCATCCCACTCCAGCTACCCGGCCTTTGTCTCCTGGCGCTTCTGTCTCCCCTCCCAGCAATAGTCTCCCCTCCCTCCTCCTTCAAGCACTTATCAAAACTTCCATGACTGCCCGCGTTGTTTGACATCTTCTCCACACAGGAGTGTCTGGCACACTCTCTGTCCTACGGCGCCCACCTATCCTTAGTGCCTGGCAGGTGCTCAGTAAGCAGTGGCTGAATGAGCAAAGACCCCTGGAGCCAGCAGGCACCCGGTTCAAGGAGGAGCTCTGGGAGAGGGAACACATAGATGGAACATCAGGGCTACAGTCTCCAGCTGCCTGGGGAGTGAGGGAAGGGCAGGCCAGGGCAGGCCAGGACAGGGGTGCAGCCTGGCTCCTGGGATCATCGGGGCAGCTGGGCGCCACCCTTACTCCTCTCCAGCACAACACTGCATTGCAATTCAGAGACTCTCTCCCAACATCCCAGTGGGCCCTTCTGGGGCCCTTCTCCGGAGAACACAAGTTCACTGCTGCTCCTTTCTGGGAACAATGCTTCTCTGAGGCCAGGATACCAGGGACTCCTCCCAGCACCGCTGCCCAAACCTACCGAGCCTTCCATCTGCAGACAACTGCACTGTTACTTTGTGTATATGGGTTTATCCAGGTGCCCTATTTTATTTTCTTCCCAGCACTTACCTCTATCTGAAATGACTTGAGAGGTCAGAGAAGTTGGAAATAAAAATAAAAATACAATGAAGGCATCCATCTGACCACCACCCAATCCCCACTCCTTGAGCAAACATGTACTGAGCCCTTTCTCTGTGCCAGCCCATGTGGGTGTTTTGACAGGAATCCTGAACGTCACTTCACTTTTCATTCCCCAAACTTGCCCCACCCTCCGTCTGAGAAAAAGGCACCACAGTGCCCTTGTAGGGGAGGAGGAAGGGAAGAGAGGGTCATATCTGAGCACTGTCTTTAGGGTGACATCCACATGGCATCGAGACCTCAGCCTTTAGGTCTATCAGAAAGGGCAGTGGGGGCTGCCTCCTGCAATCGTCACTCACTCGCTCGCCTTGTGTTGCACAGCATTTTCACAAAACCTCCTTTGCTTTCTTGGATTTTTGTTCCAGATGTTAAAATGAAAACAGCGACACTGAACAATTTCCCGAGGGTGCTGAGGCCCCAGCCTCCTGTTCGTCCTTGATTTCTCCTTCCTTCCCATCCCCCGTGCAAGTCATCAGCAGGGCCTGTCATCACAATCTCTAAAACTCTCCCTCCTGCCCTCACCGCCCCTGGCCTGGACCACTGCTGGTCTCTGCTTCCTGCAGCCCCATCTCCACAAAATGCCCGAATGACCTATTCGGAGTCTAAATCCGATTTATCATGTCACACTTTAAAATATCCAAAGGCAGCCGGGCACGGTGGCTCGCGCCTATAATCCTAGCACTTTGGGAGGCTGAGGCAGGCAGATTGCCTGAGCTCAGGAGTTCGAGACCACCCTGGGCAACGTGGTAAAACCCCATCTCTACTAAAATACAAAAATTAGCCAGGTGTGGTGGCGGACGCCTGTAATCCCAGCTACTCAGGAGGCTGAGGCAGGAGAATTGAACCCGGGAGATGGAGGTTGCAGTGAGCCGAGATCGTGCCACTGTACTCCAGCCTAGGTAACAGAGCGAGACTCTGTCTCAAAAAATAAATAAATAAAAATAAAATAAAACATCTGAAGGCTCCCTATTATGGCTAGAACAAAATTCAAGTGATCTGGTCTCTCCCTGGGCCTCTGATTTCTGTCCTCTATTCGTGCACTCTTGCCACACTGGCCTTCATGCAAGCTCATCTTGTATCCCCTCAGAGACTCTGTCTGGAACATTCTTCCCCTAGAATCGAGGGTCTACAGCTTCCTAGGGCTTCCCCTGCCTCCTGATTGAGGCCTTGGCTTGTTTACCTGTTTATTTTCTGTGTCCTCCCCCTTCCCTCCCTGCCATGAGGGCAGAGGCTGCCTGTTTCCATACAGCACCCAGCACCGGGAGGGCCTGGCTGCAGGAACCTTTCAAGAATACTGAATGAATTCATAGATGTTCAGGCTTGGGGACAGGGACGAGCAAGACACCTTCCAGGAAGTTGGGACAGGGAGTCCCTCACAAATGAGAACCATGGCTGGGGAAACGTGAACCTTGCTGGAACACAGTTCAGATAAAGAGAGTGGGGAAGGGAGGGCACCATTCTCGCCTGGGGACAGAGTACAGTAGGAGAGATGGGGAAGGGCATTTCAGGCCAAGAGCCAGCACGTGTAAGAATCACGTGGGCCTGGAGCCTTTGGGAAATGGATACACAGATGCTGCCAGATGTGGGAGGAGAGGAGTGGTGAGGGGCCCTGAACAGGAGTCTCTTTTCATCTGTATCCTTCAGGGCCCGCCATCTCCATAAAGCCTGCCCTAATTTTTTTTTTTTTTTTTTGAGGCGGAGTCTCGCTCTGTCGCCCAGGCTGGAGTGCAGTGTCAGGATCTCGGCTCACTGCAACCTTGGCCTCCTGGGTTCAAGCGATTCTCCTGCCTCTGCCTCCCAAGTAGGTGGGATTACAGGCATCTGCCACCACACCTGGCTACTTTTTTTATTTTTAGTAGAGACGGGGTTTTGCCATGTTGGCCAGACTTGTGTCGAACTCCTGATCTCAGGTGATCCACCCACCTCGGCCTCCCAAAGTGCTGGGATTACAGGCGTGAGCTACTGCGCCTGGCCAAGCCTGCCCTAAATTAAGACTCCAGAGAACTTGCATTTAAAGGGCTTTCTTTAATCTTCGCAACCCTACATGGTTGGTTTTTTGTTTTTTGGTGTTTTTTTGTTTTGTTTTTTTTCTTTTTTGAGATGGAGTCTCGCTCTGTCACCCAGGCTGGAGTGCAGTGACGTGATCTCGGCCCACTGCAACCTCCGCCTCCCGGGTTCAAGCAATTCTCCTCCTCAGCCTCCCCAGTTGCTGAGATTACAGGCGCCCACGACCACGCCTGGTTAATTTTTGTATTTTTAGTAGAGACAGGGCTTCACCATCTTGTCCAGGCTGGTCTTGAACTCCTGACCTTGTGATCCACCCACCTCAGCCTCCCAAAGTGCTGGGATTACAGGCGTGAGCCACGGTGCCCGGCCTGTTTTTGTGTGTGTGTGTTTGTTTTGAGACAGAGTCTCGCTCTGTTGTCCAGGCTGGAGTACAGTGGCGTGATCTCTGCTCGCTGAAACCTCCGCCTTTCCGGGTTTGAGAGATTCTCCTGTCTCAGCCTCACAGGTAGCTGGGATTACAGGTGGGCACCACCACACCCGACTAATGTTTTATTTTTAGTAGAGACAGGGTTTCATCATGTTGTCCAGGCTGGTCTCAAACTCCTGGCCTCCTCTGCCTGCCTCAGCCTCCCAAAGTGCTGGGATTACAGGCATGAGCCACCACACCCAGCCAAGTTTTATTCTTTTTGTTTCACAGGTAGGTAAACTCTATCTCCAAAGAGCCAAGGTCACCCAGCCAGGAAGTGGCAGAACCAGGATTCAAACTGAATTGCTGGGTGTGACTCGCCACATAGTAGCTAATAGGGCCCAAAGTCACTTCTGTGACGCATAGTTTGTGTGCCTGCTTGTCTTCCTCTCAAGACAAGACTAGAGACTGGGTCCCCAGCTCCGGTTGCCCCCAGGTCTCATGGCCCGCCTTCCTCTGGGACGCACCCCCACACACCACCCTCAGCTCGCCTAGGGGCTGGGTCAGGAGTTTGTGAGAAGCGTCCGGGGCTGCAGAGCACTTTTTTCCACAGCCCTTTGGGGCAGCGGAGCGGAGCCTCTAATTCGCATTTTACAAATGAGAAGCCAGGCTCAGAGTAGTTAAGTGACTAGCCCACAGCCAGCCAGCTGGGAAAAAGCAGAAAGTGAAGTCCAGGTCTTCTGACTCCATCTAAACCTCCGCTGCAGCCTGCAGTCTGGGTGTGGGAACAGCCTTAAGGAAACTCAGCCCCCACGGTGTCCTGCCCCAGTCCCAAGGTGCCAAGCCTGGCCAAACTGGGCCCACATCTCCGCCACCTGCCACCAGCTGCAAGGCCCACTGATGCACTCTAGTGGGGGCTATGCAGGGCTCACCCGAAACCTTTGGCCTCTCCTGGCACGTCCCTTTGTGCAGCAGGTCCCGGGCTCCGGTGAACCCCGGAATGAGTGACCGACCCTCTGTGGCTTTGCACATGCTCTTCCCTTGGCCTTGGCCAAGGCCACCCACATCCCCCTGGGCAGCCTCAGAACCCCCTGCCAGTGTCCCCTCACAGTTGCATTCCCTAACTTTAGTGCAGGCTCTGGCGCCTGATCCTGGATTCAAGTTTTACCTCTTACTAGCTACACAACTCGAGCGAGCTGTTAAACCTCCTGTATAAAACAGGAATAATGACAACCAACATCACAGGGAGTTGGGAGGACTCAGGGAGATCAAGCACGTAAAGCCCTTGGCTGGTGCCTACACAGAGAAGAACTCAATCTGTTAGCTCCTAATGCTTCCCCAAAGCCAAGCCCTCACCTTCCTGGGCTCCCATTCACTTCTTTCACTTCTTTCCCTGTCTTCTATTAGAAGCGAGTTTGGGACCAGGTGCAGCGGCTCACACCTGTAATCCCAGCACTTTGGGAGGCTGAGCAGGAGGACTGCTTGAGCCCAGGAGCTCGAGACCAGCCTGGCCAATATAGCGAGACCACATCTCCATAAAAAAATTAAAAAATTAGCCAGGCATGGTGGCCCTCCCTGTAGTCCCAGCTATTCAGGAGGCTGAGGCAGGAGGATCACTTAAGCCCAAGACTCAAGGCTGCAGTGAGCCATGATCACACCACTGCACTCCAGTCTCAACTACAGAGCAAGACCCTGTCTCTCAAAAAAAAAAAAAAAAAAAGAAAAAGAAAAAGAAAAAGAAAAAAAAGAGAGCTCTTTGGAGACAAACTATCCAGTGGATTTGCCTCCATATCCGTTTATTCACTGCCCTAGCAGGTGTGTGGCCATAAAAGAATGTGCACTGACCAAATGAATGAACGACCAAACGTATAAACCAAATGAATAAACAAGTAGCTGGGTACACAGGGGCGTGGAGGGCACGGGACGAGCGCTGGACACTCCATCAGAGGGGCTGGGCTTTACATCCCCCTTCTGCCACTCACTGGACTCGCGACCTTTGAGAAGTCCCTTCCCTGGGCAGCTTGGCTTTCAAACCTGTTAAATGAGTGACAATATCCTACTACCGGTGGGAAGTGAGGCTTACGAGATGCTATGGTAACACTCTGCAGCCCATAGAGGGCGTGTGCGTATGAGGGACAGCATGGCTGCTGTGGCCTGCTGTTCCGGTGTGGCAGGGCCCCACACCTGCTGGCCCTCCGTGCACCATGACCAGGAGAGCACAGTGGTGCTGCTGGCAGGCAAAGCCCCGAGAAGCAGTCACCACTCATTATTTCCGGGCTGCTCAGAACTTATTTTCCTGCCCCTGTCCCCACCCCTACCCTTGCCAGTGACAGTGTCACGGGCCACAACTGGGCTCTCGTTTAATCACCTGAGCATCTCAGTGGGGAGATCAGTCATGGCCAGGAGGGTTGGCAACCAGGAGAGATCACCAGCGGCTAGAGCAATGTTCTGACTCCTCCCAAGCTCTGGAGAGAGAAAGGGGCAGGAATGGCCAGGACCAGAAGGCAGGAGGCGACAGTCAGGGCCAGGCTTGTCTCAGTCTAGCTCCCTAGAATCCCTCTCCTGAGGGGCCCCTCTGCTGGGCCCACCCATGAGAACCTCTGTGGACCCACACCAGCCAAGCGTGTGCTGCGACTCCAGGGATGGCCAAGAGGATGAGCCACATCCTTCTTTGGGATTGATCAGCTAAATCTAAGCTAAGCTGAGCTGCTGATTCCTCTAAGAAGCTAAAAGGAGGATGATGGGAGTATTAGGGGAAAGGAGAGAGGATCTGTGCAGAGGTGGGGAGGCGGAGTCCTGCAGGGCCCTTCTGTCCCTGCCCCTGGCTGTGCCAAATGGAACTGGAATAGTTGTGGGCAGGCTCGTCCTTAGGCTGTATTGGCAACTGGGTTTGTAGCTGGACCCGCTGGTGGTGCACGGGCTGCAGAAAAGAGGAAGAAAGGAAGCACAAAAGCTCTGTCTGGGATCCTTGAAAGTGTTGGGTGTGCACAGGCCAAGGTTTCTCCTCCCCCTGCAGGTGCAGGCCAGACCTGCTATGCTCAATCCTAAAGAGCTGGGGCTTTCCACCTGTGACCCAGGCGCTGTGGCCAGCCAGTTCCAGCAACAGAGTCGTAATGCAAAGCACACCGGGTCGGAGCCCAGGAGATGTAGGCAAGCTGGGGCTTTGCCACTAAGCTTCTGAGTGATTCAGCTCATCTGTGACCCTGCCCTGCCTGTAAGGATTCTCGGATGGCACTGATGTGATATGATTTACAAATAAACACACCTGCTGTGATTCTTAGTAACAGTGAGAATAAGAGTTCTCACTCAGATTGGAAAGGAGGCCCCGGGCTCCTCAGATTCACCCACAGCTCACCCACGGCTGACAGGTCGGGAGGGAGAAGGCGGGGGGCCAAGTCAAATGGGGTGCACTCCAGAAGTGGCTGATTTCCTGGGTGACTTTGCATTCACCACTTCACCTCTCTGAGCTTCGTGATGCTAATCTTTAGGAAAGGTAAATGATCCAGCTCAGAGTGTTCTAGGTACTTTCTTTTTTGAGACAAAGTCTCGCTCTGTCGTCCAGGCTGGAGTGCAGTGTGCGATCTCAGCTCACTGCAACCTCTGCCTCTGGGTTCAAGCAGTTCTCCTGCCTCAGCCTCCTGAGTAGCTGGGATTACAGGCAACCACTACCCTGCCTAGCCAATTTTTGTATTTTTAGTAGAGACAGGGTTTCTCCATGTTGGCCAGGCTGGTCTTGAACTCCTGACCTCAAATGATCTACCCACCTCAGCCTCCCACTGCTGGGATTACAGGCGTGAGCCACTGTGCCCGGCCATGTTCTACATACTTCTGTGGTTCCAAGCATATCTCCAGCTCCAGGTGCACTTTAGGACACAGAACTGTGGGGTCAAGCAAAGTCCTTCTGAATGTGGCCAGAGAGCCTGGGCAGCCTAAGTCTTAATGATCTACCAAGCTGCACAGAAGCAAATCCTCATTCTTTGACTCCCTCGGGCCCAACTAGACATGAAGCTGCTGAAGTCCTAGAGATGGACTTTTCCAGCTTGCTGATAGTTGAGTAATTTTCCAGAAACAGGACTTGGCCAGTCTCCCTGCATAAGGTACCAGCCCATCCCTCTTACATAAGAAAATAAGTATTGTTTACTCCCCCAGAGGATTCAAGAAGCCAGCTCCTCCAGGGCGGGGCTCAGAAGATCCCACAGCCAAAGACCCCAGGATCAAGGCTCTTTGGCCCAGTCTGAGTGGGAATGAAGGCTCTGAGGGGAGGTTTAGCCCCACCAGGCATCTGGCTGGGGGGCCGAGGTGAGGACTATTGCATGCCTCTGTGGTCTGAGTTCCCTCAGAGTACTAAAATGGATTTGTGTGTATGCAAGGGGAAGAGAGTTAGGTGGGTGCGGACAGAAGCAGTCTTAACTAGAAATACACTTACTAGGGTTTTCCTCTTTTTTTTTTTTTTAAGACTGTCATGCCGGGCACGGTGGCTCGTGCCTGTAATCCCAGCACTTTGGGAGGCCGAGGTGGGTGGATCACTTGAAGGTCAGGAGTTCGAGACCAGCCTGGCCAACATGATGAAACACCATCTCTACTAAAAATACAAAAGATTAGCTAGGCGTGGTGGCGGGTGCCTGTAATCCCAGCTACTCAGGAGGCTGAGGCAGGAGAATCACTTGAACTCAGGAGGCGGAGGCTGCAGGGAGCCGAGATCGTGCCATTGCACTCCAGCCTGGGCAATAAGAGCAAAACTCCATCTCAGGAAAAAAAAAAAAAAAAGACTCACCCAGGCTAAGTGTAGTAGTGTAATCATAGTCACTGCAGCCTGGACCTCCCCAGCTCAAGCTGTAATCCTCCCACCTAAGACTACTGAGTAGCTGGGACTATAGGCACACACTATTGCCCCAGCTAATTTTTCATTTTTTGCAGAAATGGGGTCTTACTATGTTGCCCAGTTTGGTCTCAAACTCCTGGATTCACATGATCTTCTCACTTTGGCCTCCCAAAATCTGGGATTACAGGCGTAAGCCGCCGTGCCCGGCTGGGTTTTCCTCGTTTTTTGCAGGATAAAAACACTTAAAGAATTTGTAAACAACCCAGTGAAAGTGAATGCCCCTTTCTTATCCCCATCCCACCCCACCCTTGGGGCTAACCATTGTTAACAGCTGGTACACATCCTTTCAGATATGTAGTGCAAACCTTTAGTTTTATTTTTTTGAGATAGAGTTTTGCTCTTGTTGCCCAGGCTGGAGTGCAGTGGCGTGATCTCGGCTCACCGCAACCTCCCACTCCCGGATTCAAGCTATTCTCCTGCCTCAGCCTCCCAAGTAGTTAGGATTATAGGCTTGTGCCACCACACCCAGCTAATTTTGTATTTTTAGTAGAGGTGCGGTTTCACCGTGTTAGCCAGGATGGTCTCAATCTTCCAACCTCATGATCCACCTGCCTTGGCCTCCCAAAGTGCTAGGGTTACAGGCATGAGCCACCACGCCCAGCCCAAACATATTTTTAAAATTGAAAAAAAAAAAAAAAAAAAGGACCATACTGTGTATATTATTCTGCAAGCTGCTTTTTCCACTTAATATATTGTGGACATCTTTTCACGTCAATACAGGAAGATCTGATTGCCCTTTTTTTTTTTTTTTTTTTTTTTTCAGACAGAGTTTCACTCTCATCTCCCAGGCTGGAGAGCAATGGCACAATCTCAGCTCACTGCAACCTCCACCTTCTGGGTTCAAGTGATTCTCCTGCCTTAGCCTCCCGAGTAGCTGGAATTACAGGCACCTGCCACAATGACTGGCTAATTTTCTGTATTTTTAGTAAAGACGGGGTTTCACTATGTTGGCCAGGCTGGTCTTGAACTCTGACCTCACGTGATCCACCCACCTCAGCCTCCCAAAGTGCTGGGATTACAGGCGTCAGCCACTGCACCCGGCCCTGATTGCCCTTTTTAACAACAGCCTGGTTTTCTAATCTATCTATTCAGTTCCCTGATGCTGGACACTTAGGTTGTCTCCAAATTGTCTGCCATTATAAATAACCCTGCAAAGAATCTGGGTGGCCTTGTCCAATTATTTCCTTTGGGAAAATTCTGGAAGTGGAATCTCTGGATCAAAGGGCCCGCCCTGTGTGTGGAGATGGCCTGGGTTCTGCCTCCCGTCAGTGGTGAGGGAAGGCCTTGCGCTGCCTTCATCTCATGCTGCTGTGGGCCACTTGACCTCTCCCTCCCAAAACCAGACATCACCATGGGCAACCTGAGGCTACTGCCCATCAATCTCGATCTCTAGTGGTCCTTATTCTTCTTCCCTGCCC
Organism: Homo sapiens; assembly: GCF_000001405.40. Classification (NCBI taxonomy): domain Eukaryota; kingdom Metazoa; phylum Chordata; class Mammalia; order Primates; family Hominidae; genus Homo; species Homo sapiens. The sequence goes on from NC_000005.10 coordinate 176,410,089, forward strand.
TCTACATGACAAAAAAAATTCCAAAAACCTTTCTCTATGTTTCCACCCCAATGCATCAGACATAATGAACAGGAGAACCTGGAGCTGTAAGCCTACAACAATGAGGCTTTAGGTTACTGAGACCAGGGCTGTTGGTCCTTACCACTGCTGAGACAGAGCCTTGCTTACCTGAAACACATCTCCATTGACTGTGGTCCCCATGTCCTCAGAACCAGCTGGAAAGAGAACAAGGAGATAGCATTACTCACTGTTTAGCTTATAGCAAGCAGGAAATGGTCCTACATTAGCCCCTCAACCCAAACTCTGTGTATACCCATGTATATATCGACCCACATGCAAACAGACATAATGGATATATATATAACTTAGGCTCAATCCCACCCCTGACTGTTTATAAAGCCTCTCACAGCCATTAGTACATTTTATGTTCACCACAGCCCTGCAATGAAATTGTTGTCAACCCATTTTACAGATACTCAAGCTGAGGCTCAGAGAGGCCATGCTCAAAATCACCCAGCCAGTAATAGCTCCTTACCTACCTGAAATCACTGACCCCTGGCCATGGCTGGGAATGGCCAGATTACCTGTGAAGCCTGTGCCTGGTGAGTAGGCTGAGCTGCTGTAAGCTCAGGGCAGGGGCTACACTGGATAAGGAAGAGAGGGGCCTACGCGTCTCTGCCTGTCCCTGAGGCGCCTTGAGCAACTGCTCCTCCTGGGTGAGCAGGAGTTGCAGTTCCCACCAGAAGCACCTGGCATATTTTTTCTCTTTGTGCCCCTCCCAGAAGGAATTAAGTTTGCCCTCAGCAGTGACTCCTCCCTGTCCCTTTCCTTGACATTTGATTAGTCACAAATTCCTGGGGCTTCTGCTACAACACTGACATTCACAGTTGCCCTCCACTCTCTCCCGCAGCTCAGCCCCAGCCCAGGACCTCACCACCTTGCACCTGCACAACTGCTTTGCCCGCTAGGGGCAAACACCTGGGAAGACATAACTGTGTCTCTTTCTCTTCTCCTGTGTCTTTCCCAGAGACTTGCATGCACCTGTGACTTTGCAGGTGCTCAATAATTATTTGTTGAATAAACAAGTAAATACATGCATGAAAGAAAGACAACGACTGCATGGCTTTTGCCCATTCACAGGCCCCCTTGACTCCAGCCTCTCCCATCCCTCTTTCAAACCAATTGCCAGGGCTGACAGTCTGTAAAACATGCACTTACCTGTGCCTCTCCTCTGACTCAAAATGTCATGAAAACAAACTCCAAAGAAATCCACTTCCCATGGACCACAGTGGCCTATAGCGCCTACTCCTGCCTTGGGGACTTTGCAGGTGCTGTTCCCTCTGCCTGGAAGGCTGCTCCCTCACTCCCTTCAGCTTCTGCTCAAATGCTGCCTAATTAAAGGCCTCCCTGACCACACCCCCATCCACCCCTTGGGCACCCCTTCCTATTCCTCCTGCAGTATTAAGCGCACTTACTACAGCCTGCTGTGTTTATTTGTGTATGTGTTTATTATCTGTCTTCCCCCAACAAACAGACCCTCCATGAGGGTGTGGACTTGGTTTCATCCATGATGAGGCCCACCTACAACAGTCCCTGGAACATAACAAGGACTCAATAAATATTTGCCAGATAAGTACATCTAACCCTGGAACATGAGGATCTCTACAATCTGGCCCTGCCCATTCCTGACTCACTTCCCACCAGCCCATCCCACAAACCCTAAATTCTGGTTTCCTCCTTCTCCAAACACACCACCCTCATCCCCATGCTTTCTTCCTGCTTCCCTCTCTAAAGAATGCTTTTTTGGGCCGGGCGTGGTGGCTTATGCCTGTAATCCCAGCACTTTGGGAGGCTGAGGTGGGCAGATCACGAAGTCAGGAGATCGAGACCATCCTGGCTAACACGGTGAAACCCCGTCTCTACTAAAAATACAAAAAATTAGCCAGGCGTGGTGGCAGGCGCCTGTAGTCCCAGCCACTCGGGAGGCTGAGGCAGGAGAATGGTGTGAACCCGGGAGGCGGAGCTTGCAGTGAGCCGAGATCCCGCCACTGCACTCCAGCCTGGGCGACAGAGTGAGACTCATCTCAAAAAAAAAAAAAAAAAAAGAATGCTTTTTTGGCTCCATTTATTCTCCAAGGTCCAGCTCATAAGTCACCTCCTCTGGGAAGCCCTCCTCTGCTTCCTTTACTTCCCTAGGCACTTACGGAAGGTCTCACTTCCGGGGTATCCCAGGATATCATACAGTATCCTGCACCCTCTTGTGCAATTACTCATGACCCCCAGGGTCCGTGTGTACCCCCTTACCAGGCTCCGTGTCCTATTCAGCTCCTCAGGGCTCCAGCACGGAATGGGTGAGCAGTAACTATTGGCTAAATGGAAGTTGAATTGTTGTTTTGAGGCCTGCTGTTATCTGCAAGGCTCTCAGAAACTGCTGTGCCTCCTAGCAAAAAGCCATGGAGGCCACATGAGGTTAATAGGCAGATGGACAAATAGCCCTTCACCAGCCAGACAGGGCTGTGAGCAGCGACAGTGTGTTTGGCCTGGGGACTCAAGGGAAGGGTACTTAATCCCATGGAAATAATCCCCGGGTGACATAAATCATAATTGACTTTGCTTTCAGAGTCAACCAGTGATTGATTCCAACCAACTCTGTCAGCTGTCACTCCCATTCCTTCAGATAAGGCTTCTCCTGCATGGGTGTCCTGGCCCCTAAATCACAGTGGGACCAATAGCATTTCAGTGGCAGCATCTTCTGCAAAGGGGCTTCTTCTGCTGGGGTGTCTCCTCTAGCAGGGCCTCACGTTACCAGGGTCTATTCCCTGTGATGCCGGTCTGTACATTTGGCCTTCTCGAGAATTTGCACCACCCTACTCCGCCCTGACCAACCCCAGTCTCAGACCCCACATCTACACACAGCTGCCTGGGGTCTACCCTGACCTTCAGAAAGTCTCTCTGCCTCAGCCTCGAGAGTGTTCCTCTGGACATGCAGTTTCGGCCTCCTTAAGAGTCCACACACACCTACACAGCATTCCAAGTACCTGTTCCCACAGTGCTCTCCACCCACCCACTGCCCATCTACCACCGGGAGTCCACACTCACAGGCCAGCAGAACAGGACTGAGACAGAGACACGTCCCAGGGATAAACCCCTGAGGGTTTGCTTCCCTCAGCTGCCTGACCCATTTTGGAACAAGGGCAGAGAGGGTCCAGAACATTCCTGTGAGCTTACGAGGCCCAGCGGGGGAAATGGGCTTGCCCAGAACTGACAGGCAAGTCAGAGCCAGGCCTGGTGCTCAGAAAACTGGGTGTGAAAATGGAAACCTACCCAAGGCTGATGAATGGAAACAAAGTGTCCATCATCCAGATCACCCAGGGCCACAGATCCAGCCAGAGAGGAGGGGCTCCCTGTGGCTCCAGCACAGGCCTACACCAGATACCTCTTTCCCCAGGGGCAACTGAGCCCAGTGTCAGCACAGAGATTGCTAATCTGAGGACCCCAACATCTAAGAGAAGGTGCCTCAGAGGTACTGACTGGCGGCCGCTGCTAAGCCAGCTTTTGCCCAGCTCTCAGCAGGCCAGGGCGCTTTTTCTCTGCCCCATCCAGGCTCCTGGCACACATCCCTGGTCAGGGGAAGATTACCTGTTCAGCACTGCATAGGCTGAGAAGGTCAGATCAATTCTAGCCCATCTGGCCATCCACTGAGCCGCCATCCCTCAACACCTCCCTGCTCCCCGATCCAACTAAGGAGGGCAGCTGAGCCTTTGCAGAGTCAGCAGGTATGCGCCTGGGAGACCCTCAGAAGGCTGTATCCCCGGCACCTCCCTGGAAGAAGCGAGCGTGTCATTGTTTCTCTCCCTGTCACCTCTGGTCTGAGGCCAATTTGTGCCCCACCCCTGCCAAGGACAGAACTTGCCATCCAGACTGTAAGTCCCTGGAGCCCCACCATCCTGGGAGAGGCCACAACCTGCTCAGCTCCCTCAGGCATCTGGCTGCCCTCAGCCTGAATCCCATCTTTTCTCTCCTGAGGTTCTCACAATGGCTCCCCTCAGCAGGACCTCCCCACAAGGCCTCCCTCCTCTTCCCTGCACCCCGACCCCAACAGGCCCCAGTGAGCCAGACTGAGGAAAAGGGTGGTCTCACAGAGGTGTGGTCCAGTGAATACTGGTGCATTAACTGGGGCAGGCATTTCTTAGGAATTCCCTGGGACACGGCAGATTCTGTATTGAGGTGCTGGAAGCTTCCACTTCAGAAGCCCTCCATTGCTGTCTCAGATAGGTGGCAAAAGACCCCATGCTTCTCACCCCACATCCTATCTCCTGCCAGGGAGGTGACTGCTATAGAATCTTTTTTTTTTTTTTTTTGAGACAGGGTCTCACTCTGCTGCCCAGGCTGGAGTACAGAGACGTGATCACAGCACACGGCGACCTACCTACACCTCCCGGGCTCAAGCTATGCTCCTGCCTCAGCCTTCCCGAGCAGCTGGAACTACAACTACAGCTACATGCCACCATGCCTGGCTAATTTTTGTATGTTTTGTAGAGATGGGGTTTCACCATGTTGCCCAGGCTCCACAGCATTTGAAAGAGCATGGAGCCCAGAGTTGGGAGGCGTGGGATCAAGTCCTAGATTGGTCATTCCTGGCTGTGTGACTCTGGGCAAGATACTCAGATTCTCTGGGCCACCGGTTTCTTGCATGTTACAAAAGCCTGGTTACATTTCTCATATCAAGGAGATACAGAGTTGCTTCAAACTCCTCAGCCACAGGAACTGTCTTATTCATTTCTGTATCCCCAGCGTCCTGACACACAGTAGGTGCTCAGTAAACGTTGAATGGATACAAACATGACTGTGAAGAGCCTTGTAAACATCATTAACCAAAATATGTCTATATGTATATATGTTAGCACTTACTACAACAGGCCCATAAACCTTTCCAAAATGACATCAACAGGAAGTAAAACCTGTTTTGGATGTACCCATGAAGGTGATATCTACTTTTTTACTAAATATTTTACAAAATCATTCTTGCTAGCCAGAACCAGGGCAGAAACATCATTGATAAAGATGATTTCACAGGGACTAGGCCCTGAACACTGAGGTCTGAAGCCAATCACAGTAAATCATAATAGCCCCGGACCACCTTTGGAAAACCATTAAGTCGACAACTACAAAACCCTGAAGGGCCCTACCGCATCTGACTGATGCCTCTTTGTGGCCCACACTCCGGTGTCTAACTCAGAGCCAGACACTTGGTAGGCAGTGTGGTCAGGTGGAGAGGGCTTCAAGTCCGACAGGAACAGGTTTAAATTCACGGCCAGGTGTGGTGACTCACACCTGTAATCCCAACACTTTAGGAGGCAGAGGTGGGAGGATTGCTTGAGCCCAGGAGCTCAAGACCAGTCTGGGCAACATAGCGAGACCCCATCTCAAAAAAAGGAAAAGAAAAAATATATATGTAAAAGAAAAAGAAACAGGTTTAAATTCTTGATCTGCCACTTACTAGTTATTTCAATAGCATACTCCCTTGAGCCTCAGTTTTACCATCTCTGAAATGGGTTCAATCACGTGTATGAAGTGATTAAATGTAACCAAGGCGCTTAGCCCAGCGACTGCCGAATGCCAGGCGGTCACCGGGGAAGGTTAGTGAGTTCCTGGAGCACCCAGGATCCTCTTTTTTCCCAGCTGCAGGAGAGAGCTAAGCCTGAGGGGCCAGGAGGGCTGTGTTCTGCCCACACCTGCACACTTAGCTGGGAGCCTGGGACACCCAGGCTATTAGGAGGCTCAGGAGGGACTCTCAAAACTGAGGTGGGGTTGGATTCCAGAGCCGGGCAGTGGGGAAGCTGGCCTGGGGATGAAATGTCATGACCGAATTCCTGTCCCGGGAGTCACCAGATCCACAGCCCCAGGCGAGGCCTCATCCCCAGCTCGGAAGTCCTACATGGAGATCTCCAAGAAGATTCTTCCCCACGTCTCCCAGCTCCTGCCCCGGGTGGCCTAGAGCAGGCTCTCTTCCCTGTGCCCCTGGGCCCCGGCCGGGGTCCCCCGGGTGCGCGCCCTGAGCCCCTCTCCAGGCCCCGCGCTGACTCACCCCCACTCGTGGGGCCCGGCTGCGCGGGGGCCGCATGGCTGCCGGCAGGTGCCCCGAAGCCCTCGTCGTTCTCTATGCCTGCAATCTCGCTCTCCTGCTGGGCCAGGAAGGCGGCCGCCGGGTCCTCCTCCGCCGCCTCCGGGGCACCGCTCTCCGACGACGAGAAGAAGCCAAAGTCATCAGCCATTTTCCCCGCGCCTCCGCCGGAGCCTCCGCTGCGCTCGGCTCTGCCCGCGCCTGCCCCGCGCTGCGTCCGGCGGCCGCGACGCTGTCACCCGAGCCGCGGGGGAGCCGGCGTCGGCGGGGACGGGCTTGGCGCGGACCGCACTTCCTCTCCGCCACCGGGCCCGGCTGGCTGTCACTGCGGTGCGGGCGCCGCGGCGGGAGGAGCGGAGCCGGAATGCGGTGACGTCACCGCGGGGGCGGGGCCGCAGGGCCGGGAGGTCGCCGAGCAGCGGCCGCAGGAGGGCGCCTCAGGACTGGGCGCAGCGCTGGGCCCGGGACCGGCGCGGCGCTTCCCTCCCTCCGCAGCGGCGCCCAGCTGCTCGCGTCGAGGACACCTGGGCTAGGCACTGCTCCCGCCCGGCCTGGAGGCGAAACGCAGGGCACAGAGTGGCCGTACCGTGCACAGAGCTGCGACAGGAGGCCACCTCTGGCCTCGGGAGCGCAGACCTGGCTCCTGATTCATTCTGCAGAAGTTTCTTCTCCTAGGTTGGGATGTCATGCACCTCATTCTATGAGCCTCCGCCTCTGTAAGAAGAGGAAAATTGAGGCTGGGAAAGGCTGCCCCGCACCTTTTCATGCAAGTCCAGGTCCTTTCCCACTAGGCCGTGTTGTTTTGTGTATTTTTTTGTGTATCTCCCTTGAGGAGGCTTCAGTTCATACGACCAGAGTTTGGATGGCCAGCTAGGCCCCTTAAATGTCCTTTAGGTATGAACCAGCCTGAGAAAGGCAGACCTGGTTTACCCAGGCAGCCTACCACTCTCCACGCTGCCCGCTGCCCTCTGTGAACAGGCTCTGAATGCCTCCTCCCTGCCTGCGCTTTGCCAAGCACCAGGACAGCAACGTTTTATAAAATCCAGCCATGGCCATGCGGAGATTACAATCCGGTGAGACCAACAGATGGCAAATGGCCTGTCAAAGCACTGTGTGTGAGGCGCTGTGACATTTAAACACGGGGTATAGGGAGACGATGCAAAGAAACACCATGGGATTTGGGCTGTCTGCTATTTCTAATGTGGGACTTGAAAGGCAACTATGAAATATGGACTGGAAGAGCGAAAGGAAAGATGTGCCGCCAAGTTGGGGGTGGAAGTGGAGTTGGGGTGAAGGGACCTTCCAGGTGTTTTTTTTTTTTTCTTTTTAATTTTTTTATTTAGAGACAGGGCCTCGCTATATTAACTGGGCTGGTCTTGAACTGCTGGCCTCAGGGGATCCTCCTGCCTTGGTCTCCCAAAACACTGGGATTACATGTGTGAGCTACCAAGCCCAGCTGGAACTTTCAGTTTAATTGGTAACAACTTGAGCACCTTTTGATGTTACTGTTTTTGGGGGGGTTTTTATTGTTTTATTTAATTAAATTAATGTATTTATTTATTGCTGTCCATTTGCATGGTTTTGTTGTTGTTGTTTGTTTGTTTTTTGTTTTGAGACAGGATCTTACTCTTGCCCAGGCTAGAGTGTAGTGGTACGATTATAGTTCACTACAGCTTCAACTCCTGGGCTCAAGTGATCCTCTCATCCTCAGACTTCCAAAGAGCTGGGATTACAGGCATGAGCCAACACACCTGGCCTTTTTGATGTTATTGTAAGTGGAAGTTTTATCTTCTTTTTTGATTGCGTATTGTTAATGCATAGAAATTTAACTGATTTTTGTGCATTGGCTTTGTATCCTGCTGCTTTGCTGAATTCATTTATTAGCTCTAACATTTTTTGTGTGTGGAATATTTAGGGTTTTCTGCAGATAAGAGCTTATTAGCCAGGTGCCATGGCTCATACCTGTAATCCCAGCACTTTGGGAGGTGGAAGTGGGTGGATAGATTGAGCCCAGGAGTTTGAGACCAGTCTGGACAACGTGGCAAAACCCCATCACTACTAAAACTACAAAAAATTAGCCAGACATGGTGGTATGGTGCCCGTAGTCCCAGTTACTCAGGAGGCCGAGGTGAGGGAATCACCTGAGCCCGGGAAGTCAAGGTTGCAGTGAGCTATGATTGTGTCAGAGGTGTGTGAATCAGAGCAAGTCCGTCGTAAACAGGATCTGGGTAAAATGAGGCTGAAACCTACTGGGCTGCATTCCCAGACGGTTAGGGCATTCTAAATCACAGGATGAGATAGGAGGTCAGCACAAAATACAAGTCATAAAGACCTTGCTGATAACACAGTTTGCAGTGTTGGGCAAGGTGGCCCACGCCTGTAATCCCAGCACTTTGGGAGGCCAAGGTGGGCGGATTGTGAGGTCAGGAGTTTGCGACCAGCCTGGTCAATATAGTGAAACCCCGTCTCTACTAAAAATACAAAAAATTAGCTGGGCATGGTGGCAGGTGCCTGTAATCCCAGCTACTTGGGAGGCTGAGGCAGGAGAATTGCTTGAACCCGGGAGGCGGAGGTTACAGTGAGCCGAGATCTCACCACTGCACTCCAGCCTGGGTGACAGTGCAAGACTCAGTCTCAAAAAACAAACAAACCAACAAACAACAACAACAAAAACCAGGTTGCAGTAAAGGAGCCAGCCAAAACCCACCAAAACCAAAATGGTGACAAGAGTGACCTCTGGTCATCCTCACTCCCACCAGTGCCAGGACAGTTTACAAATGCCATGGCAACATCAGGAAGTTACCCTATACGGTCTAAAAAGGGAAGGCACGAATAATCCACCCCTTGTTTAGCATTTCATCAAGAAATGGCCATGAAAATATGCAACCAGCAGTCCTTGGGGCTGCTCTGTCTATGGAGTAGCCATTCTTCTATTCCTTTACTTTCTTTTTCTTTTTTTGAGGTGGAGTCTCGCTCTGTTGCCCAGGCTGGAGTGCAGTGGTGCGATCTCGGCTCACTGCAAGCTCCACCTCCCGGGTTCACGCCATTCTCCTGCCTCAGCCTCCCAAGTAGCTGGGACTACAGGAGCCTGCCACCATGCTCAGCTAATTTTTTTTTTTTTTGTATTTTTAGTAGAGACGGGGTTTCACCCTGTTAGCCAGGATGGTCTCGATCTCTTGACTTCATGATCTGTCCACCTCGGCCTGCCAAAGTGCTGGGATTACAGGCGTGAGCCACCGTGCCCGGCCCCTCCTTTACTTTCTTAATAAACTTGTTTTCGCTTTGCACCAAGGACTCACCCTGAATTCTTTCTTGCGTGAGATCCAAGAACCCTCTCTTGGGGTCTGGATTGGGACCCCTGTCCTATAACAATCACACCACTGCGCTCCAGCCTGGGCAATGAGAGTGAGACCCTGTCTCTAAATAAATAAATAGCATCTGCAAACAGAGATACTTCTTACTTTCCAATCTGGGTTGCTTTTATTTCTTTTTCTTGCCTAATTTCTCTGGCTAGGACTTCCAGTACTATGTTGAATAGAAATACCAAAAGTGGGCATCCTTCTGCACAAGTTGTCCAAATCAAACTGGAGTCACTTATGCCAAACCCTAGCAAAATGGACTCAGGAGGCCATAAATGAGGGGCTCCCATGCACACATGCCTATGATAGAAAATATTACAAGGACTGTCTGAGGCTGGGCACGGTGGCTCATGCCTGTAATCCCAACACTTTGGGATGCTGAGATGGGCGGATCACCTGAGGTCTGGAGTTCAAGACCAACCTAACATGATGAAACCCCGTCTCTACTAAAAATACAAAATTAGCTGGGTGTGGTGGCACACACCTGTAATCCCAGCTACTCAGGAGGCTAAGGCAGAAGAATTGCTTGAACCTGGGAGGCAGAGGTTGCAGTGAGCCGAGATTGCCCCATTGTACTCCAGCCTGGGCAACAAGAGCAAAACTCCGTCTCAAGAAAAAAAAAAAAACCCAACAACAACAACAACAAAAAACAAGGATTGTCTGAAACCACAATCTTGCACAAAGGCCGTCACACCCATGCACGAAGAATATTTCTGCAATGACACCTGCCCAGCAATTGCCTGTTCAATCTTGGAATAATGCTACCCTTGTTATCAATCCTTGTAGCCAAGGATAATTTTTTCAAAACAACTTACGTAGCCTTCCTCATTTTGCCTTTAAAACCCCTTTCCTTCCTTTTTCTCTCTGAGTGCCCCCCTCCATGGTTCACCATAGTACATGTATTCCCTGGGATGCAACTGTAAACAAGAAAGTATCACAGACAGGTCTCAATCAATTTAGAGGTTTATTTTGCCAAGGTTGCAGGCACACCCAAGAAGAAGAGACACAAGACACAGTATGATCTGTGGCATGCACTTTTTTCCAAAGAAGATTTTGAGGACTTCATTATTTAAAGGGGAAAAAGTGGGCAGGAGGAGAAAGAAGAAAGGGGAAAAAAAGGAAGGTAGACAAGTGAGATAAGCCATTGCATTCTTTTGAGGCTTTGATTAGAGCTCACTGAATCCATACGTTCCATGTGAAAAGGACAGGGTAGAGGAATAGTCAATTACATATTCATCTTGCACTCAGTAAATCTGTACATAAGATAAACAGAGAGTAGAGGAAGAGTTCAAATATGCATTTGTCTGACAGGGGCGTGGGGGGGATGATTTCTAGTCTCCTTTTGTCCCGCACCTGTGAAGATAAGCTGTTAATTTACATTGTCAGGGTGAGGGAGGCCACCTGGGGAGACATGTGGCCTTCTATCTTATACCTATCTGTTTAGGAACAAAAGGAAAGGCAGTTTTTTTGTGTGGCTTAGTTTCCAAGCTTAACTTTTCCTTTTGAGTAGTGAGTTTGAGGTCCTGAGATTTTATTTTCCTTTCACACAATCTGATATGGTTTGGCTGTGTCCCCTCCCAAATCTTATCTTGAATTCCCATATGTTGTAGGAGGGACCCGGTGGGAGGTAAATGAATCATGGAGGCAAGTCTTTCCTGTGCAGTTCTTGTGACAGTGAATAAGTCTTACAAGATCTGATGGTTTTATAAAGAGGAGTTCCCCTGCACAAGCTTTTCTCTCATTTTGCCTGCTGCCATCCATGTAAGACATTAGTTGCTCCTCCTTGCCTTCCACTATGATTGTGTACTTCCCCAGCCACTTGGAACTGTAAGTCCATTAAACCTCTTTCTTTTGTAAATTGCCCAGTCTCAGGAATGTCTTTGTCAGTAGCATGAAAATGGACTAATATACAATTTGTCATTCATTCCCAAGTAATCTCACTTTTTCTTAGAGCCACTCTCCCTGTCGTTATTTTAGGTTGACTCTCTACTTGCTCCTGATCCTAGTGGATGAGCTTTCAGTCTTCCACCATGGAGTATGATGTTTGCTGTGGATTTCTTTTCTTTTCTTTTTTATAGAGCTGGGTCTCACTATGTTGCTCAAGCTGGTCTCAAACTACTGGGCTTAAGTGATCCTCCTGCCTCTGCCTCCCAAAAAGTGTTGGCATTATAGGTGTGAGCCACCATACCTGGCCAGATTTTTCATATATGGCTTTTGTTACATTATATAACTACCTTCTGTTCCTACTTTATTGACTGTTTTTATCATGAAAGGGTGTTGAATTTTGCCAAATGTTTTTTCTGCTCTATTGAGATGATCGCATGGTTTTTTTTTTTTTTTTGAGACGGGGTCTCGCTCTGTCACCCAGGCTGGAGTGCAGTAGCACGATCTCGGCTCACTGCAAGCTCCGCCTCCTGGGTTCACGCCATTCTCCTGCCTCAGCCTCCTGAGTAGCTGGGACTACAGGCGCCCGCCACCACGCCTGGCTAATTTTTTTGTATTTTTAGTAGAGACGGGGTTTCACTGTGTTAGCCAGGATGGTCTCGATCTCCTGACCTCGTGATCCGCCCACCTCGGCCTCCAAAAGTGCTGGAATTACAGGCGTGAGCCACCGTGCCCAGCCGTGTTTTTTAAATTAATTCAGTTAATGCAGTACATTACATTGATTGATTCTTGTATGGTGAACCACCCTTGCATTCTGGGTGTAAACCCCATTGGTCAAGGTACACAATCCTTTTATTGTGCTGTTGAATTCGGTTACTGAGTATTTTGCTGAGGATTTTTGCATCAATGTTCACAAGAGATAATGATCCATAGTTTTCTTTTCTACTAGTGTCTTCTTTTTTTCATGCTATTACTGGGACTTGTAGTGTCTTTATCTGGCTTTGGTATCAGCATAATGCTGGCATCATAGAAAGAGTTAGGAAGTGTTCTCTTCAATTTCTGTGAGAAGTTTGAGAAGAGTTGGTTCTTCTTTAAATGTTTAATGGAATTCACCAGTGAAGCCATTAGATCCTGGGCTTTTCTTTGTCAGGAGATTTTTGATTACCGATCCAATCTCACTAGTTATAGGTTTACTCAGATTTTCTATTTCTTTATGGTTTAGTCTTGATAGGTTTTTGTGTTTCTAGCAATTGTAATGGTGTGATCTCGGCTCACCGCAACCTCCACCTCCCAGGTTCAAGCGATTCTCCCTCCTGCCTCAGCCTTCTGAGTAGCTGGGATTACAGGTGTGTGCCACCACACCTGGCTAATTTTGTATTTTTAGTAGGGACAGGGTTGCTCCATGTTGGTCAGGCTGGTCTCACACTCCCAACCTCAGGTGATCCTCCTGCCTCAGCCTCCTAAAGTGTTGGGATTATAGGCGTGAGCCACCGCGCCCGGCCACAGTAGTCTTTTATAATCCTTATTATTCCGATGGAATCAGTAGCAATGTCCCCATTCTTGTATCTACTTTTAGTGATTTGAATCTTCTTTTTTCTTAGTTAGTTCATCTAGCTAAAGGTTTGTCAATTTTGTTGATCTTTTCAAAGAACCAACTTTCTTTTTTTTAATTTTTTATTATTATTCTTATTTATAGAGATGGAGTTTCACCATGTTGGCCAAGCTAATCTTGAACTCCTGACCTCAAGTGATCTGCCCACCTCAGCCTCCCAAAGTGCTAGGATTACAGGTGTGAGCCACCATGCCCAGATGAAGAACCAACTTTCTATCCTCATAAATTATTTTTGCCCAGACTAGTGGAGTTTTATTCTATGGATGCACAGATTATTATTTGGCTGATGATTTAAAGCTAATTCCTATGCACATTTCTGGAATTCTTGCCCTGCCTAGCTCCCTCTTCTCAGTACTTTACCCTGCAAATCCTAGCCACTTCAACTTCCCCAAACTCCTATCTCTGTCTCTTGCCTCTGTGAGACTGCTGGACTCTGTTTGGGTTCCCCTTACCTTCCTAGCAGCTTAGAAATTCCTTCAGGCGGGCTGGGTACAGTGGCTCACGCCTGTAATCGCAGCACTTTGGGAGGCCGAGGTGGGCGGATCACTTGAGGTCGGGAGTTCGAGACCAGCCTGACCAACATGGAGAAACCCCGTCTCTACTAAAAATACAAAATTAGCCAGGTGTGGTGGCGCATGCCTGTAATCCCAGCTAGTCGGGAGGCTGAGGCAGGAGAATCGCTTGAACCCAGGAGGCAGAGGTTGTAGTGAGCTGAGATCACACCATTGCACTCCAGCCTGGGCAACAAGAGCGAAACTCCATCTCAAAAAAAAAAAAAAGAAAAGAAAAAAGAAATTCCTTCAGGCAGAAAGCGTGGTGTTCTGCTGTGAGCAGATCTAAGCTAACCTACCTCCAAAGGCCAAGGGAGCTGAGAGGCCGAAGAAAGAGGTTGACAAATCCAGTTTATCAGAAAGAAACATTTAATAGAGACTTACAAACAAAAGCCTTGTCTTAGACAGCCACACGGCAGTGGATCTCTGCAACTGCCATCCAGAAATTATCCTTTTTATAGCAAGATTTTAGCCTCAGACCTCTTGTGAAACTCCTGACCACTGGGGAAGTTAAATAAGCTCTTTTTTTTTTTTTTTTTAAGAGACAGGGTCTCACTGTGTTGCCCAGGCTGATCGCAAATTCCTGGGCTCAAGCGATCCTCCCACCTCAGTCTCCCAAAGTGCTGGGATTAAGCCACTGCAAGCCAGCCTAGATAAACATCCTTATGAGAGGTTGTCTCTGGTACAGGCACTGTTTCTTTGCAAGGGGTTATCTCCATTACAGGCATTGTTTCCTGACTTTGCTGCAGGACTGCCTCAGTATATGCACTAGTCAAACATGGGTCATTATGGTGGTTTCCCTTTAAGATAGTGTTACTCTTGCCAGGCAACAGGCTGTTTTCCTACACCTGGAAAATCACAGGGTTCACCCTGTTTGTTTCTCTTCTCTCAGGGATCACAGCCCTGTGCTGCCCATTGCCAATGTCTAAAAACAGGGCCAGGCACGGTGACTCACACCTGTAATCCCAGCACTTTGGGAGGCCGAGGCGGGTGGATCACCTGAGGTCAGGAGTTCAAGACCAGCCTGGCCAACGTGGTGAAACCCTGTCTCTAATAAAAATACTAAATATTAGCTGAGCATGGTGGCAGGAACCTGTAATCCCAGCTCCTTGGGAGGCTGAGGCAGGACAATTGCTTGAACCCGGGAGACAGAGATTGCAGTGAGCCGAGATCGCACTGCCGTACTCCAGTCTGGGTGACAGAGTGAGACTCTGTCTCAAAAAAAAAGGAGGAAAAAAATTAAAAACATTATTTTGAAGACTTGTAGCCAAGAAAAATTAGAATTCGGTCCAAACTGTAAAAAATAATAAAAATTGAAAAACATTAGGCAAGATTAGAATCTAAAAATAGGTGTACTATAGTTTGTGAAACATAATTTTTCTGTCTCCGGTTTCCCATTTTTACTATAGACAAGTCATGGTAGGACTGATTTGCTTTATTATACTTGGCCTGATTATTTGTATACAGTGCAACAAGAATAATTTTTTTTACATAGGCTTTTAAATTGGCTGTGATGGGACTTTGTTCCATAGAAGGAATCTCAGATAAGACTTTTTTAAAACCAAGCCCAGCCATGGATTTATACTATCAAATACCTATGAGTTGGGTGAATTCCTCTCTTCTTGAAGTTCCAAGATAAACTTGTGGCTGCTGGGCCTGTCAGAAAGTAACATTCCTTACTTACCACAGGTCAGGAACCCTGTACAGGGACTGTGTAGACAAGGTAAGAGGCCAGTTTTCCCAAGGTGCTTTTATTGGCTCCATAAGTCAAGTTTGTTTCCTTGAAGGAAAGCATACCATTCTAGTCAGTAACCAGTTTCTCCAATTGTGTCCTGCAATAAATGAAAACAGATTCTTTTTTTTTTTTTTTTGAGACAGAGTTTCGCTCCTGTGGCCCAGGCTGGAGTCCAATGGCATGATCTTGGCTCACCGTAACCTCCGCCTCCCAGGTTCAAGCGATTCTCCTGCCTCAGCCTCCCGAGTAGCTGGGATTACAGGTATGCACCACCAGGCCCAACTAATTTTGTATTTTTAGTAGAGATGGGGTTTCTCCATGTTGGTCAGGCTGGTCGCAAACTTCCAACCTCTGGTGATCTGCCCGCCTCGGCCTCCCAAAGTGCTAGGATTATAGTTGTGAGCCACCACGCTCCCCTGGAAACAGATTCTTATTGTACTGATGCAAATAACTGTATTACCATAAGTTAAGAATAGTCACAAATAGTTTCCAAATTCTGGAGAAATCAGGTAGAGAGAAAAAAATGTGTTCTAAATGTTGTTCACAGGAGTATACTAAATTATTAAAAGCTGTCAATAGCTCAAAAGAAAACTTCCCTTGACTCTGAAAAAACAAAACAAAGGATTAGCAATGTTTTCAACAAAAAGTAAAAAAGATTACATCAGTCTTCTATTAACTCTTTCTATGCAGTTAATTCCTGTTCAGCTTGATATTCATGAACGTTTCACTTCTCCATGAGTCCTGAAAGTTTTATTCTATTCTGATGTCACAATCTCCAAATGTATCAAAAACTTGTATTCAAGAGCACATGTTAGATTTTATAGCTGATTATAAAACCACCTTCTAAAGAGGACCAAAACAAGACAACAATTGTCTGTGGATGACGAAAAGTTTTAGGGCAGCCATAGTCAAAGACACAATTGACAAGGGTATTTGTTACCTCTGTGGCACATTAATGTAACAATTATAATTATAACTGATAAAGTACACTAAGTCATATAATAATTATAGGGGTTTCCCATAATTTTAGAACACATACCAATAACATATTTATACAAATACAGCCCAAAGAAAACCAAACACCATTTCATATTCGACCATGTTTTCTGTATAATTTTTATACCAAATAAGCCAAATTATGTCATTTTTGGACTTTAGGGAATCTAATATTCTAAAGCATTAATTAGGTCGGAAAAAGACATAATTTATAATTTGATTTCAGAAAGTTTGTCAAATATCAAAGGTTGAAAACACTTGATACCACAGGTCATTGTAAAATAAGTCATTCTTTTGACCAAAGTGCTAACTCAAGGATTTCAAAAAAAAAAGGCAAAACCTTCATTCTTTGAGAGAGGAGACTTAATTTTACAAACAATAAGCCCTAATGAAAACAGCATGAAGCCAATTAAATTTGTTTTTCAAAATTTTATAAGCTATCTCTAAAATTTTAATCTTGACCATAAGTTATAACTTCCATAAGCCTTTTATAACCTTTATTAATTAGTTGGTTAATGCTTCAAGAAAACATTGTTAATCTGACACAGGGACCCATATGCTGGTCTTGCATCAGTGTGCATTTGACATTAATGATTAATTTCTAGGGAAGCTGAACTTATTTTATCTCTCAAAATTGGCCTTTACAATCTCACATGCCCACCTCCTCCATGATAGTCCCTGGGCCTTGAGGAGTTCAATGGCTTTAATTTCTGGCCCTGTGTCTCAGGAATGCAGTTTATTTTGACTGGCATCTTCTATCAGGCCTGAAGATGAGGCTTTAATTGATGTCAGTGTTCAACATTTAGCAAGACTTGGTGTCCTTCTTAGATCCAGTAGTCAAAGCCCTTTAACTCAGTGTCACAAGAACTTTAAAAGCCCATACAGAAAGACACGTGAATGTAATAACCTTAAAGTTAAAAAAATTCTTTTTTTTTTTTTTAGACAGAGTCTCGCTCTGTCACCCAGGCTGGAGTGTAGTGGCATGATCTCAGCTCACTGCAACCTCCGCCTTTCCAGGTTTGAGAGATTCTCCTGTCTCAGCCTCTCAAGTAGCTGGGACTACAGGCACGTGTCACCATGCCGACTAATTTTTGTAATATTAGTAGAGACGTGCATGTACCATATTGATCAGGCTGGTCTCAAACTCCTGACCTCAGGTGATCCGCACGCCTCAGCCTCTGAAAGGGCTGGGATTACGGGCATGAACCACCACACCCAGCAAAAAGATTCTTTTAATCTCACTTTTTTTCTAAGCAAACTCAAACTTCATAATAATGGCATAGGAATTGTTTCTGCAAACCATAAAATTTGTTAGGCTAGTTACCAAAAGGCAAAAGAAAAGACCTTCAGCACTGCACTGAATATTATGTTGGAAGAAAACATTTCCTTTACACCTTTAAGAAAACATTGTTAACATCAGTCCACAACAAATAGAACTCAAGGAAAAAAACTTATATGAGCTGAAAAATAAGTTGGAGAGCATTACTGTCTTGCCCTTTAAAAGAGGAGAGAAAACCAAAAATGGTAAGATATAATAGAAGTTGAACTTTGGGTTATAATATTTAAATAGAAGTTGAACTTTGGGTTATAATATTTAAATCTCTTACAGTTTATTAACAATAAATCAATCCCTTAAGAAAGTTCCATTGCTCGTACCAATTATTTACTACATTTTTCATTTACATCAATCCCAGTCTCTAGAAGGACCATTACAATTTCCCTTTAATTAACAGACAACTTGATCATATAAAAGTTTATTTTTTTAAATTATATCCTCTTCTTATGACTCACACAAACTGTTCATGCCATGCTTGGACTTCCTGGTTTGTCCTGAACATCCCTCCCTCCCTCCCTCCCTCCCTTCCTTCCTTCCTCCCTCCCTCCCTCCCTCCCCCTCTCTCTCTCTCTTTTTCTTTCTTTCTTGACAGAGTCTCACTGTGTCACTCAGGCTGGAGTGCAGTGGAACGATCTCAGCTCACTACAACCTCCACCTCCCGGGTTCAAGTGATTCTCGTGCCTCAGCCTCCTGAGTAGCTAGACTTTCAGGCACATGCCACCACACCCAACTCATTTTTTATAAATTTAGTAGAGACGGAGTTTCACCATATTGGCCAGGCTGGTCTTGAACTCCTGACCTCAGGTGATCCACCCACCTCGGCCTCCCAAAGTGCTGGGATTACAGGTGTGAGCCACTGCGCCCAGCCAAACACCCCCTCTTTCTTAAACAACAGGTCATTTTATTCTAGGACTAAACTTACAATACAAGGTTCTTGCTCATATAAAATTGTTTCTCATGGCTGGGCACAGTGGCTTATGTCTGTATTTGGGAGGCCAAGGCAGGAGGATCACCTGAGGTCAGGAGTTCAAGACCAGCCTAGCCAACATGGTGAAACCCTGTCTCTACTAAAAATACAAAAATTAGCCAGGGGTGGTAGCAGGCACCTGTAATCCCAGCTACTTGGGAGGCTGAAACAGGAGAATCGCTTGAACCTGGGAGGTGGACATTGCAGTGAGCTGAGATCACACCAATGCACTCCAGCCTGGGTAACAAGAGCAAAACTCCATTTCAAAAAAAAAAAAAAATTATCTTTAAGCCTTCTTACCAAAAAAAACCAGCCAAACAAACAAAATAAAACTCTTTATTTTTATAACTTTCTTTACATCTCTCTTATTTCCTGGTTTCTTTTACCTTTTTAATATATAGCCATATAACCTTTAAATAAGCTTTGAATTAGACAAAAATTGTTCTCCTTTTTAAAAAAGACATCTTTTTTTTTTTTTTTTTTTTTTTTAGAAACAATGTTTTCTGGCCAGACGCAGTGGTTCACACCTGTAATCCCAGCACTGTGAAAGGCCGAGGTGGGCAGATCACTTGAGGTCAGGAGTTCGAGAACAGCCTGGGCAACATGGTGAAACCCGGTCTCTACTAAAAATACAAAAATTAGCTGGGCATGGTGGCTGGTGCCTGTAATCCCATTTACTTGGGAGGCTGAGACAGGAGAATTGCTTGAACCCAGGAGGCAGAGGTTGCAGTGAGCCAAGATCACGTCACTGCACTCCAGCCTGGGTGACACAGCAAGGCTGTCTCAAAAAAAAGAAGTACATCTTATAGATTCATAAAAATCTTTTTATTTTCCTATCTTAGACCTTCAAATTCTTGATAACCTGTTTCACTGCCCTAGGCAATTGTCAGCTAAATTGCCTTAAAGTTATGTATTAAAGGAAACAACTCAGGTTAAAATCAAATAGCAAAATTTAGATCATAAGGTACGGAGAAAAAAGTATAGTGTGCTAGAGGGAAATTAAAACAGATTTAATTGCCAATTGAACATAAAATTATAGACATTATAAAGGCCTTTTAAATATATACACACACACATACACAAAGATCCTACAGCTTTTACTTCAGAACTTTAGCCATGAGATAAATACAAATTCACCAGCTTGCGAAAAGAACCTGTTGGATCCAAACAATGGTTTTTATTTTAATAGAAAAATAACAGTAGACTTAAAGCAGGCAGCAAATAAAATAGAGAAAAAGAGGACCTTGGAACTCTATAGTTTGCAGGTCGACCTTAGGGCTCTTTTTCCTTAATGTAACTGTGCATAAAGACCATATTATTTTCATTTTACATAAATTCTGGCAAGTAGAGGTGCCATAAAACCTATGCAGTGCTCTCAAGGGGGTCACTTTCCTCGTTTTCTTCTCATTCTTAGATTATTTGTTTCCCACTTTTTTTTTTTTTCCTTAAAAGGAGGCGCTGCGCTGTGGCATAGGGTTTTTGTGTGGTGGATGGATGCGTACTGCTTGTGAGCAGGACTCCACAGTGTGTCACCACTGAGTTGTTTCCACCCTCTGTTTCTCTCTCCAGAGGTCTATGACCTCTGAAAGGGCTCAGAAGGCTGAGTGTCAGCTCTTATATGAGTTTCTTAGACAAGCCTTTTTTTTAATTAATTTTTGTTGGGGATTTCCCTGTGGGGCCACTGCACATCACAGGGGCTGAATCCCCCCAGACACTCCCACGAGGCCCCCAGTCACCCAAGGGTCCCTTTCGGCGGGGGGGAGCAAATGCCCTTTCTCTTAGGTGCTGAGAAAACTTAGTCTCTCATTTACCTATGAAAACAACAGTTCAGTTCCTCACACAAATATGCACAGAGAAGCCAAGTTTGGATTAATTTTGAGAGCATCTCTGAACTAGAATTAGGATCCTTAAACAATTTCCTAGGAGAGCAAAAAAAAACCAACAGCCAAGACCACTTCCTGTAAACTGTGCTCAGCCACCCCTACTTTGTAGCTCTCATCCGCCATTACACACACCAAGGTCAAATCCTCTCACAGTATAAGGTAATCTCTGGTACCCCCAAAGCCCAAGAGGTCAGGGCATACAATACAGGAAAACAGAGCTTTAGACCTAAGAAAAATCTGCTCTTGACTCTTAAAACTCCACAGAGAAAATAGAACACCTCAAAAAGGGTGAGTGGTGCCTTTGTTTGAATTATTTAAAGAGGATTAAGTCATTGGAAGCCTTTTCTAGATTTTTTGGTAGTGCGGATGGCAAAGAGGGAAGCAGGTACAGGGTGGAAGAAAAGTAAATAAAAAAATTATTTTTGGTTGGGTGCAGTGGTTCATCCCTGTAATCCCAGCACTTTGGGAGGCCAAGGCAGATGGATCATTTGAGGTCAGGAGTTTGAGACCATCCTGGCCAACGTGGTAAAACCCCGTCTCTACTAAAAATACAAAAATTAACTGGGTGTGGTGGCACACGCCTGTAGTCCCAGCTACTTAGGAGGTTGAGGCAGAAGAATCGCTTGAATCTGGGAGGCAGAGGTTGCAGTGAGCCGAGATCGCACCACTGCACTCCAGCCTGGGTGACAGAGTGAGACTCCATCTAAAAAATAAAAATACAAATACAAAAATTAGCCGGGCCTTAGTGGTGTGCGCCTGTAATCGCAGCTACTCGGGAGGCTGAGGCAGGAGAATCGCTTGAACCCGGGAGGCAGAGGTGGCAGTGAGCCCAGATCACGCCACTGCACTCCAGTCTGGGTGACAGAATGAGAGACCCTGTCCCCCCTGCCAAAAAAAAAAAAAAGAGTTTTTTTTTTTTAAGACAGAAAGCAAACACAGAAACCAAGCACATGATTTTTGGGGGTTTTTTGTTTTTTTGTTTTCCCTCTTTTGCAGCTGCAAGAAATGTTAGCCAAATTAAAGAGGCTTTGTTACCCATAATTTGGAATTTGCACTTGGATTTGACAAAGTCACATAGAGTTGGTCAAATCTAATGGGAGAAAGACTAGAACATACAACAATAACAACAAACCCAACACTATGGTCACTGAGCACGCTAATGGTAAAGAGAAATTAAGATCAGCTGGTTGTTAAACTTTAGCCAAGACAAAACCACAATTCAGCTACTTACCTAGGGATGGGTCTCAGGCTGAAGACTACTCTCTACCATGCTAGAAGCAGGAAAAAACTCAAACTCATCTTCCCTGCTGGGAGCGAGCTCAAACTCCATAAAGGAATTACCTGCCTTTAAATCATCATGGAAGCAGGAAATCTTGCCTTCTTGTTGGAAGCAAGCAAAACTGCAAACAAGGGAGTTGCACAGCAAAATAAACTTTAGATCTCCACCAAATTTTGGGAAATC
The DNA here is from genome assembly GCF_000001405.40 of Homo sapiens. Lineage (NCBI taxonomy): Eukaryota > Metazoa > Chordata > Mammalia > Primates > Hominidae > Homo > Homo sapiens. The sequence continues at coordinate 176,431,998 of NC_000005.10, forward strand.
AGGGATTCTCTGGAGGGGGTGCATCCAGGCCTCAGCAAGCTGTCCTATTGGTTTGAGCCATAAAGGTAGCTCATGCTGGTCCCAAGCACTGATAGGAGATTTGCCAAAGGTCAGGGGCATCTCCACTCAGAATCCTTCCACGGTTACCAAAACGTGAACCCTGAATACCTGAGACAGGTCTTAGTTAATATAGAAAGTTTATTTTGCCAAGGTTGAGGACACGCGCCTGTGACACAGCCTCAGGAGGTCCTGACGACATACGCCCAAGGTGGTCAGGGCAGAGTTTAGTTTTATACATTTTAGGGAGACATGAGACATCAATCAACACATTTACATATGAACATTGGTTCAGTCCAGAAAGGTGGGACAACTTGAAGCAAAGGTGGGACAACTCCATGGGGAGGGGGCTTCCAGGTCATAGGTAGATAAGAGACAAATGGTTGCATTCTTTTGAGTTTCTGAGTAGCCTCTTCAAAGCAGGCAATCGGATATGCGTGTATGTCAGTGAGCAGAGGGGTGACTGAATAGAATGGGAAGCAAGTTTCTCCCAAGCAATTCCCAGCTTGACCTTTTCCCTTTAGCTTAGCGATCTGGGGGCCCCAAGATTTATTTTCCTTTCGCAGCCCCTGAACTATGAAACACACGTCTATGAAGATGGAGATGTTCTGAGGCTCCTGGGACCCTTGGTACGTCCTAGCTGGTGCTGGATGGGGTGCAGCTGGAGAATCGCTTGAACCCGGGAGGTGGAGGTTGCAGTGAGCCAAGAGTGCACTCCAGCCTGGGCGACAGAGTGAGACTGCGTCTCAAAAAAAGAAAGAACTACAAAATGTTGTTGAGAGAAGTTAAATAAGGTCTAAGTAAATAGAAAGATATACCTTATTTATGGATTAGAAGAGTCAATAATAAGATGTAAATTCTTGGAAGGAACCTGGGGGAAAAAAAAGATGCAATAAAACTCCCAGCAGTCTTTAAAAAATAAAAGAAAGACCTCTCCCTCTCCCCATCCCCCTCCCCCTCCCCCTCCCCCTCCCCCTCCCTCCTCTCCCTCTCCCTCTCCCTCTCCCTCTCCCTCTCCCTCTCCTTCTCCCTCTCCCTCTCCCCTTTCCACGGTCTCCCTCTGATGCCGAGCCGAAGCTGGACTCTCCCTCTTTCCACGGTCTCCCTCTGATGCCGAGCCGAAGCTGGACTGTACTGCTGCCAACTCGGCTCACTGCAACCTCCCTGCCTGATTCTCCTGCCTCAGCCTGCCGAGTGCCTGCGATTGCAGGCGCGCACCGCCACGCCTGACTGGTTTTCGTATTTTTTTGGTGGAGACGGGGTTTCGCTGTGTTGGCCGGGCTGGTCTCCAGCTCCTGACCGCAAGTGATCCGCCAGCCTCGGCCTCCCGAGGTGCCGGGATTGCAGACGGAGTCTCGTTCACTCAGTGCTCAATGGTGCCCAGGCTGGAGAGCAGTGGCGTGATCTCGGCTCGCTACAACCTCCACATCCCAGCCGCCTGCCTTGGCCTCCCAAAGTGCCGAGATTGCAGCCTCTGCCCGGCCGCCACCCCGTCTGGGAAGTGAGGAGCGTCTCTGCCTGGCCCCCCATCGTCTGGGACGTGAGGAGCCCCTCTGCCTGGCTGCCCAGTCTGGAAAGTGAGGAGCATCTCTGCCCGGCCGCCATCCCATCTAGGAAGTGAGGAGTGCCTCTTCCCGGCCGCCATCCCATCTAGGAAGTGAGGAGCATCTCTGCCTGACCTGCCCATCGTCTGAGTGGGGAGCGCCTCTGCCCCGCTGCCCAGTCTGGGATGTGAGGAGCGCCTCTGCCCGGCCGCGACCCCGTCTGGGAGGTGAGGAGCGTCTCTGCCCGGCCGCCCCGTCTGAGAAGTGAGGAGACCCTCTACCTGGCAACCACCCCGTCTGAGAAGTGAGGAGCCCCTCCGCCCGGCAGCCACCCTGTCTGAGAAGTGAGGAGCCCCTCCGCCCGGCAGCCACCCCATCTGAGAAGTGAGGAGCCCCTCCGCCTGGCAGCCACCCCGTCTGGAAAGTGAGGAGCGTCTCCGCCCGGCAGCCACCCCGTCCGGGAGGGAGGTGGGGGTCAGCCCCCGCCAGGCCAGCCGCCCCTTCCGGGAGGTGAGGGGCGCCTCTGCCCGGCCGCCCCTACTGGGAAGTGAGGAGCCCCTCTGCCCGGCCAGCCGCCCCGTCCGGGAGGGAGGTGGGGGGTCAGCCCCCGACCCGGCCAGCCGCCCCGTCTGGGAGGTGAGGGGCGCCTCTGCCCGGCCGCCCCTACTGGGAAGTGAGGAGCCCCTCTGCCCGGCCACCACCCCGTCTGGGAGGTGTACCCAGCAGCTCATTGAGAACGGGCCATGATGACAATGGTAGTTTTGTGGAATAGAAAGGGGGGAAAGGTGGGGAAAAGATTGGGAGATCGGATGGTTGCCGTGTCTGTGTAGAAAGAAGTAGACATGGGAGACTTTTCATTTTGTTCTGTACTAAGAATTCTTCTGCCTTGGGATCCTGTTGATCTGTGACCTTGCCCCCAACCCTGTGCTCTCTGAAACATGTGCTGTGTCCACTCAGGGTTAAATGGATTAAGGGCGGTGCAAGATGTGCTTTGTTAAACAGATGCTTGAAGGCAGCATGCTCGTTAAGAGTCATCACCACTCCCTAATCTCAAGGACCCAGGGACACAAACACTGCGGAAGGCCACAGGGTCCTCTGCCTAGGAAAACCAGAGACCTTTGTTCACTTGTTTATCTGCTGACCTTCCCTCCACTATTGTCCTATGACCCTGCCAAATCCCCCTCTGTGAGAAACACCCAAGAATGATCAATAAAAAATATATATTAAAAAATAATAATAAAAAAAAGAAAAGAAAGAAATTGACAAACTGATTCTAAAATTTGTTCAGAAATGTAAAGGACCTAAAATAGCCAAAACAATTTTAGAAAAGAGCAAAGCTGGATAACTAACAACCTGATTTCAAGATTTTGTTTTTTTGTGTTTTGTTTTTTGTTTTTGAGATGGAGTTTCACTCTATCGCCAGGCTGGAGTGCAGTGGCGCGATCTCACCTCACTGCAACCTCCAACTCCCTGGTTCAAGCCATTCTCCTGCCTCAGCCTCCCGAGTAGCTGGGACTACAGGCACGCACCACCACACCCAGCTAATTTTTGTATTTTTAGTAGAGACGGGGTTTGACCATTTTGGCCAGGACGGTCTCGATCTCCTGACCTCGTGATCTACCCACCTCAGCCTCCTGAAGTGTTGGGATTACAGGCATGAGCCACTGTGCCCAACGTCAAGATGTTCTATATAGCTACGGTAATCAAGACAGAATGGTATTGGCATCAAGATAAACAGATAAATAACGAGAATAGAGTCTAGAAGTCTTACACATGTACAGACCACTGCAACAAAGTTACAAAGGCAATTCAGTGGAGAAGGATAGTCATCATCATTATCATTATTAATATTTTAGAGACAGGGTCCCACTCTGTTGCCCAGGTTGGAGTGCAGTGGTGCGATCCTAGCTCACTGCAGCCTCCGCCTCCTGGGCTCAAGTGATTCCCTCACCTCAGCCTCCTGAGTAGCTGGGACTACTGGCACACGCCACCACACCCAGCTAACAGTATACTTTTTGATGCTTAAATTTCCCAGTCTTTGGCCAGTGGAAGCCTCTTCAAACTTGTTCCAATGTCATTAACATTCTGATGTTTTGATGTTTCAGGTAACAACTTTATTGCTTTCTGGTACAGCAAGGTGTTTGTGGCTCATCCTCTACATGTCCTGCCCCAGACTGGAATTAATCATTTCTTCAAAGGGTTTTGTAACCTTTGAGTGGGAAATGGTATTTAGAAAACACTAGGTGGGCACCTCAGGCATTAATTTTTTTTTTTTTTTTTTTGAGACGGGGTCTTGCTCAGTAGCCCAGGCTGGAGTACAGTGGTGCGATGTCGGCCCATTGCAACCTCCACCTCCCAGGTTCAGGTAATTTTCCCACCTCAGCCTCCTGAGTAGCTGGGATTATAGGCACACATCACCATGCCCAGCTAATTTTTGCATTTTTTTGAGTAGAGACGGGGTTTCACCATGTTGGCCAGACTGGTCTCGAACTCCTGACCTCAGGTGATCCACCCTCCTTGTCCTCTCAAAGTGCTGGGATTATAGGCGTGAGCCACTGCACCTAGCCTGATTATTTCTTATAAACCTCTTTAGTCAAGAAAACTAGGAAATACAGTTTCTGTTTGAAAAAGAAAACGCACTGTAGTCTTACTGTCTTACTGATATTTCTTTTTTTTTTTTTTTTTTTGAGACAGAGTCTTGCTCTGTCGCCCAGGCTGGAGTGCAGTGGCGCGATCTCGGCTCACTGCAAGCTCCGCCTCCCAGGTTCACGCCATTCTCGTGCCTTAGCCTCCCGAGTAGCTGGGATTACAGGCACCCACCACCTCGCCCAGCTAATTTTTTGTATTTTTAGTACAGATGGGGTTTCACCGTGTTAGCCAGGATGGTCTCCATCTCCTGACCTCGTGATTTGCCCACCTCAGCCTCCCAGAGTGCTGGGATTACAGGCTTGAGCCACGGCGCCTGGCCTCTTACTGAAATTTCTAATTTAAATTTAAAATAATGTTTTTACTTAATCTCTTTGATTTTAGATCTATGTATTTTTTCTTTCACCAAAAATCTTGGTTCCAATGCATAACATATTTACTCTTTTTTGCTGTCTCCATATATACACAGTAGTCCCTTATAATTCTTGGTTTCACTTTCCATGGTTACAGTTACTTGTGGTCAACCACAGTCTGAAAATATTAAATGGAAAATTCCAGAAATAAACAATTCATAAGTTTTGAATTGAGGAGCGTGATGAAATCTTGCATCCTCCCGTTCCATCCTGTATGGGATGTGAGTCGCCCCTTTGTCCAGCGTCTCCATGCTGTATACACTCCCCACCCATCAGTCACTTTGCAGTTGATCTGATAACTCTGCAGTTAACAGATCAATTGTTGCGGTTCTCAGTGCTTTTGTTCAGGTTCCCCTTATTTTACTTAATATTGGTCTCAAAGCTTAGAGTAGTGATGCTGGCAGCTCAGATACGCCAAAGAGAAGCCATACATTCCTTTCTTTAAGTGTAAAGGTGAACGTTCTTGATTTAATAAGGAAAGAAAAAAATTGTATGCTGAGGTTGCTAAGATCTATGATAGAAACAAATCTATCCATGAAACTGTCAAGAAGGAAAACGAAATTTGTGCCAGTTTTGCTGTCACACCCCAAACTGCAAAAGTTACACCGCAGTATGTGTTAAGTGCTTAGTTCAGATGGAAAAGGCATTACATTTGTGGGTGGGAGAGATGAACAGAAACAAGCTTCAAGTGACAGCATTCAGATTTGGTACTATTCGTGGTTTCAGGACCCACTGGGAGTATATATTTAAGTGCATGCCTGTGTGTGTGTGTGTGTGTGTGTGTGTGTGTGTGTGTGTGTGTGTGTGTAGCAATATCAGGCTGGGCGCAGTGGCTCACGCCTGTAAATCCCAGCACTCTGGGAGGCTGAGGCAGGCAGATCACTTGAGGTCAGGAGTTCGAGACCAGCCTGGCCAACATGGTGAAACGCTGTCTCTACTAAAAACTAGCCGGGCATGGTGGCGTGCGCCTGTAGTCCTAGCTACCTGGGAGGCTGAGGTGGGAGAATCACTTGAACCCGGGAGGTGGAGGTTGCAGTAAGCTGAGATCACACCATTGCACTCCAGCCTGGGCAACAGAGCAAGACCCTGTCTCAAAAAAGAAACAAAAAACAAAACAAAACAAAAATAAATAAAATCACAATATCAATATTATTACTGACACTAGGATTATTTAAAACCATTTCAGATTTCTTTGCTTTTCTTTTTGTTCTCAGGATATAACCTATAAGGAGTATATAGGTCAGACGTGGTGCCTCATGCCTGTAACCCCAGCACTTTGAGAGGCCGAGGCAGGCAGATCACCTGAAGTCAAGAGTTCAAGACCAGCCTGGCCAACATGGTGAAACCCTGTCCCTACAAAAATACTAAAGTTAGCTGGGCATGATGACAGGCGCCTGTAATCCCAGCTACTCGGGAGGCTGAGGTGGGAGAATCGCTTGAACCTGGGAGACGGAGGTTGCAGTGAGCCAAGATCACACCATTGCACTCCAGCCTGGGTGACAGCACGAGACTCCGTCTCAAAAAAAAAAGGAATACATAGACATTACCGTATGGCTTTTTGTTTTTGTTTTTTATTTTTTGAGATGGAGTCTCATTCTGTTGCGCAGGCTGGAGTGCAATGGCGCAATCTTGGCTCACTGCAACCTCCGCTTCCCGGGTTCAAGTAATTCTCTTGCCTCAGCCTCCCGAGTAGCTGGGATTACAGGCATGTGCCACCACACCTGGCTAATTTTCTCATTTTAGTAGAGACGGGGTGTCACCATGTTGGCCAGGCTGGTCTCAAACTCCTGACCTCAGGTGATTTGCCTGCCTTGGCCTCCCAAAGTGCTGGGGTTACAGCCGTGAGCCACCGCGCCCGGCCACATTACTGTGTTTTAAGTTCACTTGAATTTGTTATTTTTGGCTGGGCTCGGTGGCTCACGCTTGTAATCCCAGTACTTTGGCACTTGGAAAGGCTGAGGCAGGCGGATCACCTGAGGTCAGGAGTTCGAAACCAGCCTGGCCAACATGGTGAAATCCTGTCTCTACTAAAAATACAAAAATTAGCCAGGCATGGTGGTGGTGCGCACCTGTAATCCCAGCTACTTGGGAGGCTGAGGCAGGAGAATCTCTTGAACTCAGGAGGCAGATTTCAGTGAGCTGAGATCATGCCACTGCACTCTAGCCTGGGTGACAGAATGAGTGAGACTCCATTCAAAAAAAAAAAATTCCTTATTTTCTCTGTGGTTGGGTCACTAATTTGATATTTAATATCGTAGAGAATATAGCCTGACTGAAAGCTCACATGCTTATACTTTACTGGGGAGAGTGATTTCAGGGAATCAGGCCTGAGGGAACAGGAAAGTGAGGCAAGGAAAACGAGAGGGCTAATTCGAGGGGCTGCCTACTGCTTGGTGCTAAGTGTGTTGGTCAATCCCATGGTCTATTCCCAGAGAGCCAACATGAACGACTGCAACACGAGACAGCTCACCACACAGCAGGAGATGACAAGATGTTATCCGGTGGCTCCTGTCAACAAATCAACTCAAATAAATGAGTCAGGCATGGTGGTATTTGCCTGTGGTCTCAGCTACTTGTGAAGCTGAGGTCGGAGGATTACTTGAGCCCACGAGTTTAAGACCAACACCGGCAACTTAGGGAGACCCTGCCTGTATACAAAATACAAATAAAAAAAATTAAGAGGGCATGGTGGCACACACCTGTGGTCCCAACTATTTGGGAGGCTGAAGTGGGAGGACTGCTTGAGTCCCTGAGGTCAGGACTACAGTAAGCCGTGATCACACCATGCACTCCAGCCTAAGAGACAGAATGAGACCCTCTCTCTCTCTCTTTTTTTTTTTTTTTCTGTGAGACAGAGTTTTATTCCTGTCACCCAGGCTGGAGTGCAGTGGCGCAATCACGGCTCACTGCAGCCTTGACCTCTGGGGCTCAAGCGAATCCTCCTGCCTTGGCCTCCTGAGTAGCTGAGACTGTTAATGGTGGAGGAGTTCCAGGTTTTTGGCATCTTGAACAAAGAATTGGACAAAATACACAAAGAAACAAGGAAAGAATGAAGGGATTTACTGAAAATGAAAGTACACTCCACAGTGTGGGAGCAGGCCCAAGTACAGAGGCTCAAGGACCCCATTACAGAATTTTTGGGAGTTTAACTATCCCCTAGAGGATTCCATTGGTTACTTCGGGTACACCCTATGAAAATGGAGAGAATGAAGTAAAGTTACAAAGTTATTTACAACATATGCCCTATGGAGAGGATATTTCCTGTTATAGCTGAAGTGTAAATCGGCCTTATGTTCCCTGCCTCCAGACCCTATTTTCCTGCCCCAGGACTATCAGCATGTGCCACTGTGCCCAGCTAATGTTTGTATTTTTTGTAGAGAGGAGGTTTCACCATGTTGCCCAGGCTGGTCTTGAACTCCCAGCCTCAAGGAATCCACCCTCCTCAGCCTCCCAAAGTGTTGGGATTATAGGCATGAGCCACTGTGCCCAGCTGAGATACTATCTAAAATAAATAAATAAATATATAAATTCCACTGACAAAGATTGTCTTTTTTTTTTTGAAACGGAATCTCTCTCTGTTGCCCAGGCTGGAGTGCAGTGGCGTGATCTTGGCTCACTGCAACCTCCACCTCCTGCGTTCAAGCGATTCTCCTGCCTCAGCCTCCCGAGTATTTGGGACTACAGGCACCCACCACCACATCCGGCTGATTTTTGTGTTTTTATTAGAGATGGAGTTTCATCATGTTGGCCAGACTGGTCTCAAACTCCTGACCTCGGGTGATCTGCCCGCCTCGGCCTGCCAAAGTGCTGGGATTACAGGCGTGAGCCACCACGCCCGGCCAAGGATTGTCTTTTTTAAAAAAGAGAGACTTCATTCCAGTGAACAGTTTGCAAACCAGAGAGATGCATCCTTCAGTGAAAACAAAGGTGCCTTCTGAGAGAACAAAGAGAGGGGTTGTCTTTTACAAAGAAAGCTCTGCCCATGTTCTCACTATGGTCCACTTATGCAAACGAGGGATGCAATCTTTGACTGATGCTTGTTGTATTCTGATTTGTCGATACAGGTCATAGTCTACTGATTAGGTCTGTGTCTTGGTCTGTTTGTGTTGCTCTAAAGGAATGCCCAAGACTGCATAATTTATAAAGAACAGAGGGTTATTAGGCTCACGGTTCTGCAGGCTGTACAAGAAGCATGGCACCAGCATCTGCCTCTGATGAGGGCCTCAGGAAGTTTCCACTTATGACAAAAGGTGAAGGGGAACAGGCTTGTGCAGATAACATGGAGAGAGAAGAGGCAAGAGAGAGGGGAGGAGGTGCCATGCTCTTTTCAACAATCAGTTATCTTGAGAGCTAAGAGTGAGACCTGCCTCCCTCCCACAAGAACAGCATCAAGTTATTAATGAGGGATCCACCCCTATCACCCAAGCACCTCCCACATGGCCCCACCTCCAACATAGGGGATCAAACTTCAACATGAGACTTGGCGGAGCCAAACAAACCATATTCAAACAATAGTAGTTCAGGAGGCGAAATGGGATTTTCCAACAGTCGTTATTTCTGGCAGGATGAACAAGAACAGACAGCTATGAAAGTCCCAACATTACATGAGCATGTGGGTTCCTGGGAATGCAGGATACGTGGGTGACCTAGAGTCAGTGAATGGCCGCTTGGCTGTATTTTGAATTCAGGCCCACTTAGCCACTCAGGATCCATCTTGAAGGACTGGCTCTTTCAGGGTTCACACTCCCATCTCTTAATGGCCAAAAATTTGCCCCACGGGCCATTACTTCCCCTGCACTTCTGGGTCACATGTGGGTAGGCGCTGCGCTGGTCCATGGTGTCTCCTGCTCCAGTAGCAATAGAAAAGCTCCAGGGCGGGAGTCAAAGCCTGTAGTGCACATGCAAGTGACATGCTGTTGCACTGGGTCTGTGCAAGCTGGTCACCACGGAGGTGGCCAGACAGAATCCATCCAAGTAGAACTGATCAGCACAGAAGTGGCTGGGGGTGCAACAAGTGACCAAGGGCCTTGGAGATAGGTAAGACTGCAAAGATCTCAGGTGAAATGTAAGAGATGTTGGATGCAGTCCCTCCCTTGCACTGCTCACTCCCTCCCGTTATATCCAGTCCTACAGTTCTCCACGACTGTAGGAACAAAATGCCCTCATTCCTTCCAAGAGGGACGGTAGGAGTCCAAACATTCATAAAAATCCCTTTTCATTTAGTAGCCAGCAACAATCTACAAAGACTTAAGGTGAGCTAGCTGGTGAAACAAACTAAGCTCTCTGCAGCTGCAACTGGTCCCAAGGCTGTAAGTGATAATCGTCATCTCCTTCCTCCATTACTCATTCGGCATTTCCCTCACCCTTGGCTAGTACTTTGGTTGGCCTGATGCTTTTCCAGCCTGGGCAATCCAGACTTTTATTTTGGAAGGGTCTCAGCCTTTAATTACCTTCCCTTGTCAGGCTGTGGTTGTGGCAATTGCTTGTTTTCCGTTATCACTGGGTGTGGAAGTGACAAAAGATGTCCCAGTAAGTCCCCTGAGCTCCAGACACACTCCTGACTCTGTGGTGTATAACAGCAACCCTGGCCCCTCATTGTAAACAGGGGGATTACCCTGCTGGTCTGACAACTCCTCCACTCGCAGGTTTACGGCATGAGGTGTCCAAAGTGTCCAGGTGGTCATCGCAGCAAGCAGTTCAATGGAAACTACACTGTCTCCTGGGAAACATGCCCTCCCAACCAGGCAGAGGCTAAGATTGTAGGGACAATTTAAATGCAAATGGGTTATTTAAACCATCTGTAAGTAGGTCTGTTGCTTTTCCTCCCTTTCCCATTCTGCCAGCTCAGGTGTTATTTAAACTTGTTCACAGTTCACAAATCACGCAATTTTTTACAAACAGATTTTTTTTTTTTTAGAGTCTCGCTCTGTTGCCCAGGCTGGAGTGCAGTGGCGCGATCTTGGCTCACTGCAAGCTCAGCCTCTGATTTACTTTGCTTATTATTTTTTATAGACACAGAGGTCTCACTGTGTTGCCAAGGCTGGTCTTCTGGGCTTAAGCAATCCTCTTACCCTGGGTGGAATTTTTAAATCCACTTTGGATTAAAATATAAACTGGGTTTGGTGGTGCAGACCTGTTAGACCAAGCTACTTCAAAGGCTGAGGCACAAAGATCGCTTGAGTTCTGGAGTGTGAGACCAGCCTGGGCAACATGGTGAAACCCCATCTCTACAAAAAGTACAAGAATTAGCCTGCTGTGAGCAATCCCATTACTGGGTGTATACCCAAAGGAATATAAATCATTCTGCTATAAAGACATATGCACACGTATGTTCATTGCAGCACTATTTATAATAGCAAAGACGTGGATGCCCATCAATGATTGAATAAAGAAAATGTGGAACATATACACTATGGAATACTATGCAGCTATAAAAAAGGATGAGATCATGTCCTTTGCAGGGACATGGATGAAGCTGGAAGCCATCATCCTCAGCAAACTAACAGAGGAACAGAAAACCAAACACCACATGTTCTTACTCGTAAGTGGGAGTTAAACAATGAGAACATGTAAACACAGGGAGGGGAAAAACACACACGGGGCTTGTCTGGAGGTAGGGGGAAAGGGGAGGGACAGCATTAGGACAAATACCTAATGCATGCGGGGCTTAAACCTAGAGGATGGGTTGATAGGTGCAGCAAACCACCATGGCACATATATACCTATGTAACAAACCTGCACGTTCTGCACATGTATCCTGGAACATAAAGTAAAATAAAATAAAATAATAAAATCAAAGAATTAGCCTGGTGTGGTGGTGTGTGCCTGTAGTCTCAGCTACTTGGGAGGCTGAGGTGAGAGGATCGCTTGCACCCTGGAGGTCGAGGCTGCGGTGAGCCATGATCATGCCACTATACTCTGGCCTGAGCAACAGAGGGAGGCCCTGTCTCAAAAAAAAAAAAAGAAAAGAAAAGAGAAAAGAAAATAAAAGAGGAAAAAAAAAAAAAGAAAAGAAGGCCAGGCACAGTGGCTCACGCCTATAACACCAGCACTTTGGGAGGCCAAGGCGGGTGGATCACCTGAGGTCAGGAGTTTAAGAGCAGCCTGGCCAACCTGGAGAAGCCCATCTCTACTTAAAAATACAAAAATTAGCCGGGCTTGTTGGCATGTGCCTTTAATCCCAGCTACTTGGGAGGCTGAGGTAGGAGAATCGCTTTAACCTAGGTGGCAGAGGTTGCAGTGGGCCGAGATAGTGCCACTGCACTCCAGCCTGGGTGACAGAGCAAGAATCTGTCTCAAAAAAAAAAAAAAAAAGTAGGCTGGGTGTGGTGGGTCACGCCCGTAATCCCAAGCACTTTGGGAGGCTGAGGCAGGCAGATAACGAGGTCAGGAGATGGAGACCATCCTGGCTAATATGGTGAAACCCCGTCTCTACTAAAAATACAAAAAAATTAGCCGGGTGTGGTGGCGGGCGCCTGTAGTCCCAGTTACTTGGGAGGCTGAGGCAGGAGAATGGTGTGAACCCAGGAAGCGGAGCTTGCAGTGAGCCAAGATTGCACCACAGCACTCCAGCCTGGGCTACAAGAGCAAGACTCCGTCTCAAAAAATAAAATAAAATAAAATAAAATATAAATATAAATAAAAAAAAGAAAAGGCAAGCCAATAACTGGTAACACTTTTCACACTCTTCATCTTGAACTTATCAAAAAAAAGTTTGAGTTTCTTCCCAGGTCTGCTTCTTCCATGGCAAACAGAGGCTATGAGGCTTCTTCCAATTCTGGTTGACTTGCAGAGTAATTTTCTTGAAATTGACACCTTTTTTTGAATTGAATTAGTTCACACCTTTTTCTTTTTTTCTTTTTGTGACGGAGTTTCACTCTTATCTTCCAAGCTGGAGTGCAATGGCGTGATCTCGACTCACTGCAACCGCCGCCTCCCAGGTTCAAGTGATTCTCCTGCCTCAGCCTCCCAAGTAGCTGGGATTACAGGTGCGGGCCACCATCCCTGGCTAATTTTTCTATTTTTCATAGAGACGGGGTTTTACCATGTTGTCCAGGCTGGTCTTGAACTCCTGACCTCAGATGATCCACCCACCTCGGCCTTCCAAAGGGCTGAGATGACAGGCATGAGCCACCGCGCCTGGCCAACACCATTTTTAAATGGGGGGATTTCACATGGAAATCCAAATGTGTAGAGTTTTTCTTTTCAAATTAGCATATTTTACTTTTTAAGGTGTACAATGTGATGTTTTTCAAATAAAATGTATCATGTAGGACATGATGTTTTGAAATATGTGTACTTTGTGGAATGGCTAAATCAAGCTGATGAACATATGCATCACCTCACATTTTTTTGGGGGGGTGAGAATGTCTGTGCTCTGAAAAAAAAATGGGCAGTTCCGGCAATACATGGAAGCCATCCTCCACAGCTAAAAGGCAGAAACCGTCTGTTTTTTGTTTTGTTTTGTTTTTGTTTGTTTTTTTGAGACAGGGTCTTGCTCTGTTACCCAGGCTGGAGTGCAGTCATGACTATGGCTCACTGCAACCTCTGCCTCCCGGGTTTAAGTGATCATCCCTGCCTCAGCATCCTAACTAGGTAGAACTGCAGATGCGTACTAACACACTCAGCTAACTTTTTTTTTTTTTTTGAGACAGAGTCTCGCTCTGTTGCCCAGGCTGGAGTGCAGTGGCACGATCTCGGCTCACCGCAACCTCTGCTTCCCAGGTTCAAGCGATTCTCCTGCCTCGGCCTGGGACTACAGGCATCTGCCACCATGCCTGGCTAATTTTTTTTTATTTTTAGTAGGGACAGGGTTTCACTGTGTTAGCCAGAATGGTCTTGATCTCCTGACCTCAAGATCTGCCCGCCTCAGCCTCCCAAAGTGCTAGGATTACAGGTGTGAGCCACCGTGCCCGGCCCACACTTGGCTAATTAAAAAAAAAAAAAAAAATTGGTAGAGGCAGTCTCACTATATTGCCTAGGCTGGTCCCCAACTCCTAGGCTCAAACAATCCTCCCACCTTGGCCTCCCAGAATGCTGGGATTACAGGCATGAACCACCGCGTCTGGCCAAAAACCACCTTTGGACAGGGAATGGACACTCCGGCTTTTCATATTTTGTCCCCACACGGAGACACATTAAAGTAGAGTTTTAAACAAATGAATTATTTCTTGTAACCTAATCTTTATTGAAAGAAGAAAACAGGGCCAGGTGCGATGGCTCACGTCTGTAATCCCAGCACTTTGGGAGGCCGAGGCGGGCGGATCCCGAGGTCAGGAGATCGTAGACCATCCTGGCTAAGACGGTGATACCCCATCTCTACTAAAAATACAAAAAAAAAATTAGCCGGGCATGGTGGCAGGCACCTGTAAGCCTCAGCTACTCAGGAGGCTGAGGCAGGAGAATGGCATGAACCCAGGAGGCAGAGCTTGCAGTGAGCCAAGATCAGGCCACTGCACTACAGCCTGGGCGATAGAGCAAGACTCCGTCTCAAAGAAAAGAAAGAAAGAAAGAAGAAAACAGAAAGATAGAAAAAGAAAGTGTAACTTTCTTTGAGGAAGTGAAGAAATATTCAATGGTGTTTCATATAACTACAAATTAGGTCTGTTGAAAGAATATGTTACCCAGGCTGGAATGCAGTGGTGTGATCACAGCATACAACAGCCTTGAACTCATGGCCTCAAGTGGTCCTCTCACCTCAGCCTCCCGAGTAGCTGGGACTACAGGCATTTGCCACCATGCCTGCTGGCAAGTATATATCTTAAGTGAGAATTACACAATTCCTGAGGACATCTGACTTTGCCAACCCTCATTTAGTTTATCTGAACCCAACGTTATTGGTGAGATTGAACAACACTGAGTTTCCTTTGAGCTTTGAGCTGCTGTAATAAATTCTCTATAGAGTAGCAGCTATCTGCTTCCGATTTTACCTTCGGGGGTTTTTACTTAATTGACATATTATTTATTTATTTATTTATTTTTGAGACGGAGTCTCACTCCGTCGCCCAGGCTGGAGTACAGTGGGGCAATCTCAGTTCACTGCAACCTCCGCCTCCCAGATTCAAGCGATTCTCCTGCCTCAGCCTCCCGAGTAGCTAGGACTACAGGCGTGCGCCACCAACCCTGGCTAATTTTTGTATTTTTAGTAGAGACAGGGTTTCGCCATGTTGGCCAGGCCAGTTTCGAACTCCTGACCTCAAGTGATCCGCCCGCCTCGGCCACCCAAAGCGCTGGGATTACAGGCGTGAGCCACAGAGCCCGGCCGACACCATTTTTAAACGGAAAGATTTCATATGCAGATCCAAATTTGCAGGGTTTTTGTTTTGTTTTGTTTTGTTTTTCCAATTAGCACTTTTTGGGGGTTGTGTTTTAGGGCGTACCATGTGCTGTTTTTCCAGGACGTCGTGGTTTGTGCAGACCTGGTAAGACCTGATAAGTCCTGAAAGAAGTAGCCAAAATTTCATGTACTCTTCACAGAACCAGCTCTCAAAGCCTTTTCTGTCTCACCGGATCAACCCTGCAAGGGGACGAGGGTGGGGCGCAGGCGGCCGAGAGCCTTGCTGAGAATCACACAGGTGGTCAGTGGAAAAGCGTGTACCAGACCCAGGCCTCTCTGGAAGGTGGGCAGAGGAGGCGTTCGGCGGGAGAGGTGGAAATGAAAACGGGAAATCTAAAGAGAGGTGGCGGACTAGAAGGGGCAAGGGACGTGCAGAGGAAGATAGAGATTGAGGGGTGGTGATAGGGTAGTGTAAGCAGCAGAAGGGAAGGGCAGGGGACTGCCTCGAGGAGAAGGGGCGGCGGCAGCACGTCAGGGGCTTTTGGGGAATCTCATTCAACAAATGGCAAAATGGAGCCCAAGTGGTTTGCCCAAGGATGTCCAGCAGTTGGCAAGGTGGCAACTAGAACCCGCGTCTCCTAATCCCGGTCCAGGGATCTTTCTTCGCCTGTCACAGAGACAAGGGGCCAGTGCAGCGCTAGTGCGGAGAGACAAGGCTCCAGGCACGGAAAAGCAGATGCCGGGCCGGGGTTCCAGCGCCGCAGTCACGGCGGTGGACGGCAAGCTGTGCGGACGACTGGGGGCGCCATGAATGGTCGAGGATCCGGGGAGCCGAGTCCAGATCTTCCTGCAAGTGACCCCGAAGCGGCAATGGAACGGTGGCCGAAGTCTGCCCACAGCTTCCGCTTCGAAGGCGGCGTCGGAAATGCCGCGCCAGTATCCAGAGCCCTTCGGAACCTCCCGAGAGATGGTCAGGAGCTTTTGGAAACTTTAGGTCAGGGGCCAGCGACCAAAAGGCTGGTATTTCGGAACGGCTGCGTCTCCCGAGAAACCTCCAAGAGTATCTGAGGTTGCCGGAAAATGGTTAGAGAGCAGCCGAAATCAGCCGAATGCCATTCGGGATGCTCCGGAGCTTCTCGAGGCACATTCGGGCCCTCTCGGCTCTGCAAGACTGCACTGGAATCTTAGGTCTCCTTTCGTCGCCTAATCTTAGCAGATCCTTTCGTCGCCTAAATGGTAAGAGCGACTTGTACCGACAGTCCCTCGGCAATTTCCGGAAGTGTTCGGGATAGGCCCGAGCGTGGCGCCCTCTGGCGGCGGCCAGAGGTGGCGGGGGGCGGGGGGAGGTTAGTGGGCCAGCGCGCGCAGACGCAGTTGCGCGCCGGCGGCCGTTCAGACCGGATGTGGTTGTGGCTGAGGTCAGTTCCGGCGGGTGACGGTGCGGACGGGTCAGGAGCGTAGAGGCGGCGGCAAAATGGCGGCGCCTGAGGAGCGGGATCTAACCCAGGAGCAGACAGAGAAGCTGCTGCAGTTTCAGGTAGCAGCGAGTACTCGGTGCAGCAGATGCCTCCGTGGGATGGGGAGTAGGCCCCTAGAGGAGTTCAGAACCCTCCTCAGATTGGGTTCAGATCCTTCTCAGACCAGCAGGCCGGCCCCCTCCCCCCCAGACTCCAACTGCCCTGATTCCCCCGGCCCCCAAGCCTCTGTTGGACCCTAGCCTTCCAGCCATCGCTGCGGGCAGACCCGCCTCGTCTGTGCCTCTGTGCCCTCAGCGTGTCAGCTTCCCTGGTTTGCCTTAGCGGCGTCAGTCCTCAGCCATCCTTCCCAGCCCGGTTATCGGTCGGACCCTCTCCGCCCAACGAGTCTATATCTGCCGGAGAAGCTTAGTCCCCACCGCGGAGTTGGCGTCATTTCGGGTCTCTGACAGGAAAACCTCCTGCCAGCATCCCATGCCATTTCCACATACACTCCCACAAACTGGGGCCTCTTGGATACCAGGTTTCGTGTTGGGGGTTCCGGTCGGGGAGGGGGCACCTACACACAGATCTGGTCCCCGCCCTAGAGGTGTGGGAGGACACCAAGTGAGGAAACAATGCAAGATGATAAGTGTCATCAGTGGTCTGTCGGGATTTATTACTTTTGGCTTATTCCTGGATTCCTGTGCTTAACTATGCTTGAGGAGGGTGGTAACTTGCAGAAATGTTATGTTAATACAAGATGTTGTATTAAGAACATTTGCCACTGATCACTTACCCCTGAGCTGGAGAATGGTTGGAGGATACCACTAGGGTGGGTAACCTTGGCACTTTGTTACCAGTTTCCTTATCTCTGAAAGGACTGTCTTAAAAATGTCTACCCCCAGGCCAGGAGCGGTGGCTCACGCCTGTAATCCCAGCACTTTGGGAGGCCAAGGCCAGCGAATCACGAGGTCAGGAGTTCGAGACCACTCTGGCCAATATGGTGAAACCCCGTCTCTACTAAAAATACAAATATTAGCCGGGCGTGGTGGTGCACGCCTGTGGTCCCAGCTACTCGGGAGGCTAAGGCAGGAGACTCGCTTGAACCCGGGAGGCGGAGGTTGCAGTGAGCCGAGATCGTGCCACTGCACTCCAGCCTGGGCAACAAGAGTGAAACTCCGTCTCAAAAAAAAAAAAATCTACCTCCTGAGGATGTTCGGGAGATCAAATGGACATATGGATGTTAGAAGGGCCTTGTAGACTGCAAAATGCCCCCAAATAGTATTTTCTGCTATTAATTTGACTTAGGATAGACCTAAAGTTATTGATACACTTATTTCCTTATATAAAATGTGTAAATATTCATTTATTCAACTATATGAAGAACCTTAGTGCGCAGCGCTGCTAGGTAGAATCCCACTTACTATTTCAGATGTAAGTACTTTGTAAACACTTAGCATACATAACCTCATTTAATACAGCAACCCTATGAGGTTCATACTGTTCTAGTCCCTGATTTACAGATGAAGGGTATCAGGACTAAGAAATAAAATGCTTAGGTTACACAGCTAGAAAATGATGGTGTCAGATTTAAAGCTATGTCCATCTTCCAGAACCCTTCCCAGGCTTCTGACTTCTGTCTTGTGCAACTTATATTTCAGTGTACAGTTGAGTGTGGAATGCAAATGCTGAGAAAATAAATATTTTTTTGGCGAGTTCTCACTTTTTTGCAATTTCCTTGAATAGACTTCACTATAATAAATTTTGAAGTGGTTATTTTTTCCCCTCTTAAATTGAGCAGTGTGTTGGAAGTGTATAAATGGAAAAATGCTGTCATAGATGTAATTGACATTTGATTGGAATTTTTGGTAGAGAAATTGAATTGATGACCCAGCAAATTATTATTAGAGAATGAGTTAAACAGACAACCAGCTTACACTTCCAGGTAGACCACCAATTTCAGAGTGTTGTTTAACTTTGGCAGACCATTTTACCCCTTAGAACTCTTCAGGGGTAAGCTAACATGTGGTTTAAGTGCAATGAAGTAATGTGAGTTATAAATTATGGTATATTTAGTCTCATACTGGAAGAGCATGAATATAAATCTATGATAGCATTTCTGAAGTAAAGTGCATAGGAACCTCCATTTTATCTTCTGTGGAGATCTTTTTTTTTTTTTTGAGACGGAGTTTCGCTCTTGTTGCCCAGGCTGGAGTGCAGTGGCGCGATCTCGGCTCACTGCAACCTCCGCCTTCCAGTTTCAAGCGATTCTCCTGCCTCAGCCTCTCGAGTAGCTGGGACTACAGGCACGCGCCACCACATCCAGCGAATTTTTTGTATTTTTAGTAGAGACGGGGTTTCACGATGTTGGCCAGGATGGTCTCGATTTCTTGACCTCGTGATCCGCCCTCCTCGGCTGGGATTACAGGCGTGAGCCGCCGCGCCCGGCCAAAACTGTGGAGATCTTTATTAGAAGAGAGGTGGGTAGCAGGTTCGAGCTGTATTAAGATTGCCTTATGAAATTGGATTTATTGAGGGAAATGCATCTTTCATTTTTCTATTCTATAAGCAATCGCTGGATCAGATTCATTATCCAGACTGCCATTAAACAAACAGTTGTTGAAACTTATTAGATGCCAAGCATTATACCAAGCAGCAGTTGATGTACATTAACTCTTTTTTTAAGAAAAATATTTTAGACCATGTGTGGTGGCTCATGCTTGTAATCCCAGCACTTTGGGAGGCCGAGGCAGGTGGATCACCTGAGATCAGGAGTTCGAGACCAGCCTGGCCAACATGGCAAAACCTCGTCTCTACTAAAAATACAAAAATTAGCCAGGCATGGTGGCATGTGCCTGTAATCCCAGCTACTAGGGGGGCTGAGGCAGGAGGCTCACTTGAACCCGGGAGGTGGAGGTTGCAGTGAGCCAAGATCGTGCCACTGCACTCCAGCCTGGGCAACAGAGCGGGACTCTGTCTCAAAAAAAAAATTTTTTTTTAAGTAGAGACGGGAGTCTTGCTATGTTGTCCAGGCTGCTCTCAAACTGCTGCCTCAGAGGTTGAGATTACAGTGTTGAGATGAGTTGCCTCAGTGTTGAGATTACAGATGTGAGCCACCACACCTGGCCCCTTAACTCTTTTAAACCTTTTAATATAACAGTGTAAAGGGTTAATCTTGTTCATTTTAATAATGAAGAAACAGGTTCTGAGAGGTCAAATAGCTTTCACAAGTAGTAAGTGGTAGAGATTTAGAAATTTATATCCACAACCATCTTCTGTGTAACTTAATGGAGAAGTCAAGTACACACATGAATAATGGGTATGCGATATATATAGATATATATATATGTGTATATATGTATATTGTATATATACATATATATACGTGTGTGTGTGTATATATATATACATATATATATACACACATATATATATATACATATATATATATACACACATATATATACACATATATATATACACACATATATATATATATATATTTTTTTTTTTTTTTTTTTTTTTTTTTTTGAGACAACATATCTCTGTTGCCCAGGCTGAAGTGCAGTGGCGTGATCATAGTTCATTGCAACCTCAAACTCCTGGGCTCAAGTGATCCTCCCACCTCAGCCTCCTAAGTGGCTAGGACTAGAAGTGCCTGGCTAATTTTTGTCTGTTTGTTTTTGAGACGGAGGCTTGCTCTGTTGCCCTGGCTGGGGTGCAGTGGTGCGATCTCGGCTCACTGCAGCCTCTGCCTCCCAGGTTTAAGCTATTCTCTTGCCTCAGCCTCCTGAGTAGCTGGGATTACAAGTGCCTGCCACCATGCCTGGCTAATTTTTGTATTTTTAGTACAGACAAGGTTTCCCCGTGTTGGCCAGGCTGGTCTCGAACTCCTGACCTCAGGTGATCCACCTGCCTCGGCCTCCCAAAGTGCTCGGATTACAGGCGTGAGCCACCGGACCTGGCCAGCAGGTAACATTTATTAAGTATCTACTATGCCTTAGGCATGGTGTTAATGTATAACTATTATGTTTAATCCTTACAGCAGTTTACAAAGTACCATAGGTGGTATGCATAATGAAGCAGATCTATTGATGTATTTACTCAAGGTGATTAAGCTACTAGGTAGTGGAATTCTAGTGGGTCTAGATCTGGACTTGATGGCTGAGTTCTTACTAATATACCTTGCTACTTTGGAAGAGGAATAGAGTTTCAACATGTGTTGGGCAGAATATTCAAAGCTAAAGAAATAGCTTGCACAAGGTAGGGAGATGGGAAAGTGAAGTGTCTGTGGTGATGAACTGAAGAGTATTGAAAGTGGACAATAAGACTAGAAAGGTAAATTAAAGCCAGATTTTGGAGGCCTTTCAAAGCTGTTCACAATGTTTAAACTTTAATCTGTAGATGAGGGGAGCCATCAAAGGATTTTTCAACTAGGGAGTGACACTAGGTTTCAGGTTTGCTTCATTAGCAGTATGGAGTATGTGTTTGGAATCTCCACAGGGGTCAGTACAGAACAGGATGACACTGCTAGGAGTTGGTTCTCAATATGTTTCTTCATTTGGTATATTGAAATCAGTAAAAGTAAAATATTTTGGAAATCTCAGGTTTCCTGTATTTCAATTTTTTTATGATGTTATTTGGTTAGAACTCCCCAAGGCATTTTATTTCATATCATGTTTCTCAGCCCATTTGATATCTTCCAGGATTTTTCTACAGTTCTCCACTTCTGTTTATTTTGGAACCAGTTGAATATGAATAACTATTGCAGACAATTGTTTTCAGCTATTTCAGATGGGAAAGAATAAGGACATAGGTTTTAAGGAGAGCTAATGCAGGTATGTGGAAGGTTACTTTTATTGGCGTTCATTTTCCCAAATTTCCAAATATAGCAGACTCTCCTAGTGTCTTGGTTTACTGCCTCTAGGTTGCTGTTTGAACAACTGGAGAAGGATGACATGGACAGAGAGAAGGGGGAATTAAAGGAGTTATGCAGGCCAGCAGAGGAAGAAATGATCCCTTTTCTGCTTGCACAGGAGGAAGAAATTTATGACCCTCATCCTTTTAAATGATAGCCTGAACGCTGGGCTGTAGAATCAAATTTATAAGTCATTTTGAAAATCTTTCTTTTGGCTTCACCTGACTATATTACCTAAAGGAAAAAAAAACACATGGTGCTTTTTGTTCATGTATTTAAAACAGAACATACAGTGGTCCATTTGAGGGTTTTTTGCCAGAGAATTTGGCACTGTTGAGAAAACAAGAGCTTTGAAAATCCAGGCAAACATGACTTAACTTTTCAACAGCTTATGGTGAGTTCTGTGATCTTGAACAGGTTCTCACTTCTTTGAACCTCTTTCATTTTCTATAAAATGGAGATACTGGCCGGGCGCAGTGGCTCACACCTGTAATCCAAGCACTTTGGGAGGCCGAGGCTGGCAGATCACGAGGTCAGGAGTTCAAGACCAGCCTAGACAACATGGTGAAACCCCGTCTCTACTAAAAATACAAAAAAATTAGCTGGGCGTCGTGTCAGGTGCCCATAATCCCAGCTACTCGGAAGGCTAAGGCAGGAGAATTGCTTGAACCCAGGAGGCGAAGGTTGCAGTGATCCGAGACCGCACCACTGCACTCCAGCCTGGGCAAGAGCGAGACTCTAAAAAAAAAAAAATTGGAGATACTATTATCTAGTTCACAACATTCTTTTTATTTTTTACTTTAAAAAATCTAGTAGGCTGGGTGCCATAATCTCAGCACTTTGGGAGGCCGAGGCAGGCAGATCACTTGAGGCCAGGAGTTCGAGACCAGCCTGACAAACATGGTGAAACCCCGTATCTACTGAAAATATAAAAATTAGCCAGACATAGTGGCATGCACCTGTAATCCCAGCTACTCGGGAGGGTAAGGCAGGAGAATCACTTGAATTCTGGAGGCGGAGGTTGCAGTGAGCCGAGATCGTGCCACTGCACTCCAAGCCTGGGCAACAGAGTGCGACTCCGTCTCAAAATAAATAAATAAAAATAAAAATACAAAAAAAGTTAGCCCAGTGTGGTGGCACAGGCCTGTAATCCCAGCTACTCAGGAGGCTGAGGCATGGGAATCACTTGAACTCAGGAGGTGGAGGTACCAGTGAGCCAAGATCGTGCCACTGCACTCTAACCTGGGCAACAGAGCCAGATTCTGTCTGAAAAAAAAAAAAAAAAAAAAAAAAAAAAAAAAAATCTAATAATACATGCTTGTTGGAAGTTAGCAACATACAATTGTATTTTAAAAAGTAATCAAATCTTATTTTATTTCCCCATTCTAATTCCAGGTTTGTTGTTTATCTTTGTGTATTTTTGTCTTCTGCATACACAGCTTAATGTGGAAGCTCTCTTAACCTTAACCTTCACTTGACTGATTAATTGGAGCAGATATCCTCCTTTTCCTAAACTCTATTCTGTAATATGTTCAAGCATTTCTGCAAACTCTACTCTGTAATGCACTCAAGTGTCTCACCAGTCAAGTTGTATTCCTGACAAGAGGCAGTTATATTTGCTCCCAAACTAGTGTGTGCTGGTTATGTTTGTCACATGTGTTTAATTAAACACTACATAAACCTGTAAAATACCAGTGCAAAAAGAGTTTTCATCGATACGAAAACTAAATTAAAAGCTTTAAACAGGCTCTGTCTGGGGAAATTGCTAAAAAAAAAAATTGTTGTTTAGTTAGGTGTGGGCAAGTTAACTGTAAATGACTTAGGGAGAAATCATTGAGATACAACATTGTACACTTACTGCTTGGCAAGTGTTTAAGGTTGCACTACACTTAAGGAAATCAAATCAGTATGGGTTATGCTAAAAAGATCCCAGCCTGGGCAACATGGTGAAACCTCATCTCTACTAAAACTACAACAAAAAAATTAGCTGGTCGTAGTGGCGCATGCCTGTGGGCCTGTGATCCCAGCTACTTGGGAGACTGAGGTGGGAGCATCACCTTAGCCTAGGAGGTGAAGGCTGCAGTGGGCTGTGATTGCACCACTGCACTCCAGCCTGGGTGACAGAGTGAGACCCTGTCTCAAAAAAAAAAGTAAAAAATAGCCAGGCACAGTGGTGCACGCCTGTAATCCCAGCACTTTGGGAGGCTGAGGTGGGCAGATCACCTGAGGCCAGGAGTTTGAGACCAGCCTGGCCAACATGGTGAAACCCCATCTCTACTAAAATACAAAAATTAGCCAGATTTGGTGGCGGGTGCCTGTAATCCTAGCTACTCAGGAGGCTGAGGCAGGAGAATTGCTTGAACCTGGGAGGCAGAGGTTGCAGTGAGCCAAGGTCGCACTAGTGCACTCCAGCCTGGGTGACAGAGTGAGACTCCCTCTCAAAAAACTAAAAATAAAAACTAAAGAAGTTCCAAGGAGTGCTAGTGGATTCATTCCCTAAAGAAAACGATAGGCTTTTATCAGAAACTTATGTTCATGTGAGTACTTTATGTTAAAATGAAATATTTACATAAATATTCATTTATGTAAAAATGAAAACATGTAAAATGTTAAAATGAATATTTTTATTACTTTGACTTCAGTTAATTGATTAGTTATGGGTCTCATTCTCATTGGGTAAGAGAACTTCTGTCTTTGTCTTATAGAGATATGATTATATTATACTTAACTCTGCATAGCATAGGTAAGTAGTCATGAAGACTGACTGGGTTTGTTTGATTGAGACAGAGTTTTGCTCTTGTTGCCCAGGCTGCAGTGCAGTGGTGTGATCTCAGCTCACTGCAACCTCCACCTCCTGGGTTCAAGCAATTCTCCTGCCTCAGCCTCCCGAGTAGCTGGGATTACAGGTGTGTGCCACCACACCCGGCTAATTTTTGTATTTTTAGTAGAGATGGGGTTTTGCCATGCTGGCCAGGCTGGTCTTGAATTCCTGACCTGAGGTGATCCGCCTACCTCGGCCTCTCAAAGTGCTGGGATTACAGGCGTGAGCCACCGTGCCCGGCCCAAAATATATTTTTAAAACTTAAAATGAACAACTCAATCAAAAGGTAGGGAAAAGATCAGAACAGACAACTCACCAAAAAAGATATACAGATGGCATGTAAGCATATGAAAAGATGCTCAAATCTTTAAGGATTTGAGGTCCTTAAGGAATTGCAAATTAAAACAGCAATGAAACAGGAACTCTCCTGAGCTCAAGCAGTCCACCCCTTGGCCTCCCAAAGTGCTGGAATTACGGGTGTGAGCCACTGCACCCAGCCTCAACTGGAATTTCTGTTCCACTGGTCTTCCCCTATATATGCCAATATAACACTTAATTATAGAGGCTTATGATATATTTTGATCTGGAGGAACACCCCTGCCTCCACTCTGTTGCTCTTTTTCAGAGTTTTCCTGTTTATTTGCTCCTCTAAAAGAAATTTGAAATCAACTTTTTAAAGTTGAAATTTTATGAAATTTGTAAATGAACTTCAGGGGTTGTAGTTGACATCTTTATGTTGCTGAATCTGTTCAAGAACATAGTTATATCTTGGAAAGGTTTTGACATACTTACTCAGTAGTGTTTGCTGGCCTCCCTTTTTTGGGGTACTTCTTTATTTGACAAGTACAGACACTTATTATCAAGTTGGTTCAAAATGCGTTATTTTTTCAGAGTGGGCTGGGCATCGATATTTATGAACTCCTCTAAGTATTTAAGAGGAATATTTCTGAACCTTGCAAAGTAGTATACATTCTGATTACTCTGAGTAACAGATTACCTTTACAGCAGATAGTCTTTTAGAAGTAGGTCTTTGAGATGGGTATTGATAAAGATTAGTATTTTTTGTTTTGTTTTTTTGAGACGGAGTTTCGCTGTTGTCCCCAGGCTGGAGTGCAATGGCTCAACCTTGGCTCACTACAACCTTTGTCTCCCAGGTTCAAGTGATTCTTCTGCCTCAGCTTCCAGAGTTGCTGGGATTATAGGCGCCCACCACCACTTCTGGCTTATTTTTTTGTATTTTTAGTAGAGACAAGGTTTCACCATGTTGGGCAGGCTGGTCTCGAACTCTTGACCTCAGGTGATCCACCTGCCACAGCCTCCCAAAGTGCTGTGATTACAGGCGTGAGCCACTGTGCCCGGCCATAAACGTTAATTTTGTCATTTTTATTTTGGACCATCTGAGGATTATTTCACATATTCAAGGATTCTAGTTGTCGTTTCTCCAACATTGTATTTTTGCTTAAAATTAGTATCAAAAATGAAATAGTCATAAAACTGATTATTTGATTTGAACTGTTTTCAGGGGTGTGTGTGTGTGTGTGTGTGTTTAATACTACTGTTAGTGAGAGTGCCAGAAGTGATGAATAGCAGAAATCACCGTGAACACTTGGGGGGCCTGTGTGTGGGCCTTGGACTTTTCCACCAAGGAAATTATGAAAACTTTCTCACAGTCCTGGAATAAATTTGAAAGAGAACAATTTTTCATACTAAATACTGGGGAATATTTTTAAATGTGTGTTTGTAAATTCTTATTGGAGTTAAAGTCACAAAAAGTCACAGTCCTTAGTTAACCCTCTTGTCATATGCATTGCCACTGCCTCAGTTTATACTTCATTTCTCCTCTGGACTAAACTTGTATAACTGGTAGCCCACATTTAAAGTCTTCTCAATTCAGCCTTCCTACTTTTTCCAGAATAATATTTCTATTCTCTTTCTCTTCTCTTTTCACTCCTCTTCTCCCTTCTCTTCTCTTCCTTGACAGAGTATCTGTCGCCCAGGCTGGAGTGCAATTGTACAGTCTTGGCTCACTGCAGCCTCCGCCTGCTGGACTCAAGCCATCTTTCCAGCTCCCCTTCTTGCGTAGCTGGGACCACAGGCACGTGCCACCACGCCCAGCTAATTTTTGTATTTTTAGTAGAGATGGGGTTTCGCCATGTTGGCCAGGCTGGTATTGAACTCCTGGCCTTAAGTGATCCACCTGCCTTGGCCTTACAAAGTACTGGGATTACAGGCATGAGCCACCACGTCTGGCCTCAGAATAATATTTTTCTTTTTCTTCCTTTTTTTTTTTTTTTTTTTGAGACGGAGTCTCACTCTCTCACCCACGCTGGAGTGCGGTGGCTCGATCTCGGCTCACTGCAACCTCCCAAGTTCAAGCGATTGTCCTGCCTCAGCTTCCCGAGTAGCTGGGATTACAGGCGCGTGCCACCACACCCAGCTAATTTTTGTATTTTTTAAGTAGAGATGGGGTTTCACCATGTTGGCCAGGCTGGTGTCAAACTCCTGACCTCGTGATCTGCCCACCTCAGCCTTCCAAAGTGCTGGGATTACAGGCATGAGCCACTGTGCCTGGCCCAGAACAGTATTTCTAACAAAAATAATTGGAGTGGTATTGATTAGAGCAGCATAAAATTTTTCTTTGTACCTCATGGTCTGACTTCACTGTCAAACCTTACATTTTTACCCTTTCTATTTCTATTCCAGTGATACTTTTTAATTTCCCTAACATGTTATTCCTTCTCATGCCTCCCTTGCTCTTCCCTTGTCCTGAAATTTCTCCTTCCACTAGTTTTCAGCTCAGAACCTTGATTTCTTTCTTGATAAGTTCCTTGAAGGACTTAAGGATTTGTTTACTGGTGTGTAGTAATTGTCATAATAATAAAATAATTTACATGTCTTTTAACTCCACAGAGTTTTGGGGGGTTCAAACTGATTTCTTTGTGCTTGCTGCATGATAGATGCTCAATTAATATTTGCTCAATGACTAATTCACCAGAAATCTCAATCCCAAAGAGTTTTTTGTTGGATTCTTTTTTTTCTCTTTCTCTTTGTTAAAGCAATTCCAACAGCATTAAGTATCCTATTTTTAGAAGAAAGAAGAAAGCCAAAATTCCAGTTAACCTTTTTTTTTTTTTTTTTTTTCTTTTTGAGATAGGGTCTCACTCTGTTGCCCAGGCTGGAGTGCAGTGGCTCATTCATGGTTCACTGCAGCTCCAACCTCCTGGGCTCAGGCACTCCTCCCACCTCAGCCTCCCAAGTAGCTCGAACTACAGGCCCACGCCACCACACCCAGCTAATTTTTTTATTTTTATTTTTTGTAGAGACATGGTCTCATTATGTTGTCCAGGCTGGTCTCAAACTCCTGGGCTCAAGCGATCTGCCTGCCTCAGCTTCTTTTTTGTTTGTTTGTTTTTTGAGCATTGAAAGTTAACCATATTCTCATCTTTGCAGCAATGTAGGGGAAGGAGGTCTGTATTAGGAACTTGGCAATTTGAGATCTCTGACAGTTACTTAATCCTTCCAGGCCTCAGTTTCTGTATCTGCAAAATGACATAGATATTTGTGTGGGTGTGGGTGTGGTTGTTTTGTTTTGTTTTTTCTTTCAACTTTCATTTTAGATGAGGGGGTACATGTGTGGGTTTGATACATGAGTAAATTATTTGTTGCTGGGATTTGTTGTATGAATGATCCCATAGCCCAGATTGTAAGCATAGTATCCAACAGTTAGTTTAATTTTTCAACACTTGCCCCCCTCCCACTCTACCCCATCTAGTAGTCCTCAGTGTCTATTGTTCTCATCTTTGTGTCCATGTGTACTCAGTGTTTAGCTCCTACTTACAAGTAAGAATGTGGTATTTGGTTTTTTGGTTCTGCATTAATTTGCTTAGGATGACGGCCTCCGGCTACATCCATGTTGCTGCAAAGGATGTGATTTTGTTCTTTTTTATGAGTGCGTGGTATTCTATAGTGTATATGTACCACATTTTCTTTATTCAGATCACTGTTGATGGGCATCTAGGTTGATTCCATGTCTTTGCTATCATGAATAATGCTGTGATCAACATATGAGTGTGTGTCTTTTTGGTAGAACGAGTTATTTTCCTTTGGGTGTATACCCATTAATGGGATTGTTGGGTCAATTGATAGTTCTGGTTTTTTTCTTAAGTTCTTTGAGAAATCCCCAGACTGCTTTCCACAGTGGCTAAACTAACTTACATTCCCACCAGTGTTATATAAGCATTCGTTTTTCTCTGTGGCCTTGCCAATATCTAGTTATTTTTTGACTTTTTAGTAATAGCCATTCTGACTGGTACAAAATGGTAACTCATTGTGATTTTGATTTGCATTTCTCTAATGAGCAGTGATGTTGACTATTTTTGGCCGCGTGTGTGTGTGTGTGTGTGTGTGTGTGTGTGTGTGTGTGTATTTTTTTTTTCCTGAGGGTCTCACTTTGTTGCCTGGGCTAGAGTGTAGTGGCATGATCTCAGCTCACTGCAGCCTCTGCCTCCTGGCCCTGTAAATGTCTTTTGAGAAGTGTCTGAGGCGGGTGTGATGGCTCACGCCTGTAATCCCAGCACTTTGGGAGGCTGAGGCAGTGGATCACTTGAGCTTAGGAGTTTGAGACCAGCCTGGGCAACATTGCAAGACCCCAACTGTACCAAAAATCCAAAAGATTCACCAGGCATGGCGGTGTAGGCCTGTGGTCCCAGCTACTTGGGAGGCTGAGGTGGGAGGATCACTTGAACCTGGGAGATGGAGGTTGCAATGAGCCAAGCAAGATGGTGCCACTGCACTCCAACCTGGGTGACAGAGTAAGACCCTTTGACTCAAAAAAAGAAAGAAGTGTCTGTTCATGTACTTTTGCACCCACCTCCCCTTTTTTTCTTCTCTTTTTTTTTTTTCAGACAATGTTTTACTCTGTCGCCTAGGCTGGAGTGCAGTAGTGCCATCTTGGCTCACTGCAACCTCTGCCTGCCAGGTTCAAGCGATGTCTCTTGCCTCAGCTTCCTGAGTAGCTGGGATTACAGGCGCATACTAACATGCCCAGCTAATTTTTGTATTTTTAGTAGAGACAGGGTTTCACTGTGTTGTCCAGGCTGGTCTCGAACTCCTGACCTCAAGCAGTCCACCCACCTCGGCCTCCCAAGGTGCTGAGATTACAGGTGTGAGCCACTGTGCCCAGCTTTTTTTTTTTTTTTTTTTTTTTTGAGACAGGTTCTTGCTCTATCTCTCAAGCTAAAGTATAGTAATGTGATGATAGTTCACTGTGGCCTCAGAGTCCCAGCTCAAGTGATCCTACCACTTCAGCCTCCAGAGGAGCTGGGACTACAGGTGTACACCACCACACTGGGCTAATTTTTTTTATTTTATTTTTTTTTTTTAGAGATAGGGTCTTGCTGTGTTGCCCAGCCTGGTCTTGAACTTCTGATTTCAAGTCATCCTCCCACCTTGGCCTCCCCTAGTGATGGGGTTACTGGTATGAGCCACTCGGCCTGGCTTTTGCCAGTTTTTTTTTAATGGGGTTATTATTATTATTATTTGCTTGTTGAATTGTTTCTCATATATTCTGGATATTAGGCCTTTGTCAGATTCATAGTTTGCGAAGATTTTCTCCCATTTTGTCTGTTTACTCTGTTGATAGTTTCTTTTACTGTGTAGAAGCTCTTCAGTTTAATTAGGTCCCACTTTCCAATTTTTGTTTTTGTTGCAAATGTTTTTGGGGACTTAGTCATAAATTCTTTGCCAAGACCAATGTCCAGAATGATACTACTAGGTTTTCTTGTAGGATTTTTATAGTTTTAGGTCTTACATTTAATGATTAATATTTTTAAACTTTACAGGGGTGTTAGAAGTAAGCATCAGAAAAGCTAGGTGCAGTGTCTCACACCTGTAGTCCCAACACTTTATGAGACTGAGGTGGGAGGATCACCCGAGGTCAGGAATTCGAGACCAGCCTGGCCAATGTGGTGAAACCCCATCTCTACTAAAAATACAAAATCAGCCAGGCGTGGTGGCAAGCGCCTGTAGTCCCAGCTACTTGAGAGGCTGAGGCGGGAGAATTGCTTGAACCCAAGAGACAGAGGTTGCAATGAGCCGAGATCGCAACATTGCACTCCAGCCTGGGTGGCAGAGTGAGATTCTGTCTCCAAACAAAACAAGAAAAAAGAGTGGATCAGAAAACACATACTATAGTGCTTGGTTAATTGATATTTAATAGACTGCACAGTGGCTCATGCCTGTAATCTCAGCACTTTGGGAGGCCAAGGCAGGCAGATCATGAGGTCAAGAGATCGAGACCATCCTGGCCAACATGGTGAAACCCCATCTCTACTAAAAATACCAAAATTAGCCGGGCGTGGTGGCGCATGTCTGTAGTCCCAGCTGCTTGGGAGGCTGAGGCAGGAGAATCACTCGAACCCGGGAGGCGGAGGTTGCAGTGAGCCGAGATCGCGCCACTGCACTCCAGCCTAACGACAGAGCAAGACTCCGTCTCAAAAAAATAAAATAAAATAGATGTTTAATAAATAGTTGAATCTAAATCCTAGAGCATCCTCTCATGTCAAGTTTTAAGATTGAAAAGTGATAAATTTTTAACATTTTGTGACTTGACATTAAATTTTGCTAATATATACACATCTTATGCATGTGAAATTCTAGGGGTGTGATTTCAAGCTATTTTGAAACATAATGGCAGAATTTGTCAGCCTAGAAGGGGTGAGGGATGGGCAGGGAACAGACAAGGTCAAATTATTAGATTATTTTTGGAGGACCAATAAAGTTTGCTTCGCTATAGTGTTTTTCACAAAGAGGATAACAGAAATACCTTCATTTCTCTTGAAACAACGTTTCTGCTTGAATCTGAGCGGTAAAGTCACATTTAGGAAAGGTTGAATATAGCCAACATACTTATTGTTTGTGTTTGTTTTAGTGGAATTAAGTCTGTTAAGTGAAAGAATCAATACTAGAATAGGAATTAATAGGGGCCAGGCCTGGTGGCTCATGCCTGTAATCCCAGCACTTTTGGGAGGCTGAGGCGGGTGGATCACCTGAGGTCAGGAATTTGAGACCTGCCTGGCCAACATAGCAAAACCCCGTCTCTACTAAGAATACAAAAAAAATTAGCCAGGCATGGTGGCAGACTCCTGTAATCGGGAGGGTGAAACAGGAGAATCGCTTGGCCCGGGAGGCAGAGGTTGCAGTGAGTCAAGAGGTATCACTGCACTCCAGCCTGGGCAACAGAGTGAGACTCCATCTCAAAAAAAAAAAAGGAATTAATGAAAGATAATTTATTTGGTTCCCCCAAAATCTAATTG
Source organism: Homo sapiens (assembly GCF_000001405.40). Taxonomy (NCBI): domain Eukaryota; kingdom Metazoa; phylum Chordata; class Mammalia; order Primates; family Hominidae; genus Homo; species Homo sapiens. Next base: position 176,463,443 of record NC_000005.10, read on the forward strand.
TATTACTTCAGAACCTTTTAAGCTAGTTCAGACTCATCTCACAGTGCTTTACAAATGTCTCCTTAATGTGTCCTTCATGTTTCTTTTTTTTCCTGACTCAGATTCTGGAAGACCTCATGTTTCTCAATAGTAATATTAGCTAACCTGTTTTAATCTGCACAACCCAAGGAACTAAGCACTATTTTTATTTACATTTTACCAGTGAGGAAGCTAAACCTAAGAAAGATGCCTGAGGTTACGAAGCTAGTGCGTGGTAGAATTAGAATAAAGGGTTATTGCATGTTTTTTTTTTTTTTTTTTTCCTTGAGACAGAGTCTTGCTGTGTTTCCCAGGCTGGAGTGCAGTGGCGTGATCTTGGCTCACTGCAACCTCCGCCTCCCGGGTTTGAGTGATTCTTCTGCCTCAGCCTCCTGTGTAGCTAGGATTACAGGTGCTCACCACCACACCTGGCTAATTTTTGTAGTTTTAGTAGAGACGGGGTTTCACCATGTTGGCCAGGCTGGTCTCGAACTCCTGACCTCAAGTGATCTGCCTGCCTCAGCCTCCCATAGTGCTGAGATTACAGGCGTGAGCCACTGTGCCGGGCCTTAAATTTTTCTATTGCTGCTACACAAATTAAAATTGCTTGTGTCTCTAACTTTCCAACAAAGCTCAGCCACTTCTTCCACTTATTCTTTTTTTTGTTTCTTTTTTTTGTAGAGACAGGGTCTCACCGTGTTTCCCAGGCTGTCCTTAAGGCCTTAAGGCCTCCTGCCTTGGCCTCCCAAAGTGTTGGGATTACAGGTGTGAGCTGCCACACCCAGCCCCCACCTATTTTAATTGCTTGGATAAAGAATATTGTGGGGGGTTTTTTTGGAAATGTTTATTCATGTGGTATTTATGTATATTCGAATATTTATACAGTAAACATCCACACTTGTGTAATGCCATTTGGGTCTAATCAGTTATCAAATATTTGAGAATCTATTATTTAAGATTAAGATATGGTTATATCTTGATTTGCACAGACCATTTGGTTCCATTTCTGGTGTTTCCAAGCTGATTCTTTTTTTTTTTTTTTTTTTTTTTGAGACAGGGTCTTGCTCTGTCACCTGGGCTGGAGTACAGTGGCACAACCATAGCTCACTGTAGCCTCGACCTCCCGGACTCAAGTGACCCTCCCACATCAGCCTCCCAAGTGGCTGGGACTACATGCATGTACCACCATGCCCGGCTAATGTTTTTATTTTCTGTAGAGATGGGTCTCACTGTGTTGCCAGGCTGCCAAACTGATTCTAAGTGAAAATTCTTCAAGGGATATTAGTTTTTTTTTTTTTTAAAGACCTTCCCTTATGTGAAGTTGTGAGGTTAAATTTTCTTTTTTTCTAGAAGCAGAACCTTTCAAAGCCTTTACAAGATTATATTGCAGATTTCTAAAAGGGGTATTTGAAAAGAGGTATTTGATAGGCACTTTCTTTTTTTTTGAGACAGAGTCTCGCTGTATCGCCCCGGCTAGAGTGCAGTGGTATGATCTCAGCTCACTGCAACCTCCGCCTTCCAGGCTCAAGTGATTCTCTTGCCTCAGCCTCCTGAATACCTGGGATTATAGGCATGCGCCACTACCACGCCCAGCTAATTTTTGTATTTTTAGTAGAGACAGGGTTTCACCATGTTGGCCAGGCTGGTCTTGAACTTCAGACCTCAAGTGATCTGGCCGCTTCAGCCTCCCAAAGTGCTGGGATTACAGGCGTGAGCCACAGAGCCTGGCCAGATATGTACCATTTTCTAGTCTTATTTGACCCCAAACCCTTTGTCCATAGAGAAAAACTGTATCAACATGTTTGTTGATCTTGTGCCTAAAGGAGAACAGTTTTATATACGTCTGTGGGCTGATATTCAGCTACTAGTATATACAATAAAGAAACTGAAATTTTCTTTTTCTTTCTTTTTTTTTTTTTTTTTTGAGTTGGAGTTTGGCCCTTGTCATCCAGGCTGGAGTGCAATGACACAATCTTGGCTCACTGCAGCCTCCACCTCCTGGATTCAAGCAATTCTCCTGCTTCAACCTCTTGAGTAGCTGAGATTGCAGGCACCTGCCACCATGCCTGCCTAATTTTTGTATTTTAGTAGAGACAGGGTTTCACCATGTTGGCCAGGCTGGTCTCAAACTCCTGACCTCAGGTGATCTGCCCTCCTTGGCCTCCCAAAGTGCTGAAGTTACAGTTATGAGCCACCATGCCCAGCCCAGAAATTGAAATTTTCTGAATTAAGGATTTACTGAAAGCTATTTTAGCTGGGCACAGTGGCTCATGCCTGTAATGGGTACCTGGGAGGCTGAGGCAGGAGAATCACTTGAACCCAGGAGGCAGGGATTGCAGTGAACCGAGATCGTGCCACTGCACTCCAGCCTGGGCAACAGAGCAAGACTTCATCTCAAAAAAGAAAAGAAAACGATTTCAAGTAATAATGGGAGGCATTTTGGCATGAGAGAGAATCTGGACTTTGGAAGTAATTAATCTAGATTTCAGTCTTCACTCCACCATTTACCATTATCTAGATATTCCTAGACAAGGCGTGTAACTTTTTGAATCTTTGGCTTTCTCAGTGATGAAAATAAGGGTTTCAATACTTACAGTATCTGTTTTATTACACGGTAATAGATGTTTAGTAAATGGGAGCTGCTGGTACTTAATTTGGAGTATCAGTAATTAAATGTGAATAATAAAGATCTGAGTGTGTGTAAGAGTTTAAATTACTTTAGATCAGAGCCTAGCCATGATCACTTAATTTCCTGAACAGATTTCAGATTTCATTTCTCCTGCTACTATCAGAGAAGGCATACTGCCTATTACATAAAGCAAAGCAAAGCTGTCTGTGTGGTCGGAAGGAGAGAACAAAGATTCCTAGTTTTTGCCAAGTTTCTCTCTGGGAATAACTGAAAACAAGACCTAAAATATGCATTCTTAGCAAGCTAAAACCAACAAGCCAATTGGAATTTAGAGAGTACTTAAATCTCAGCTGAGATTTCACACCAACCCCGTGCAGCGTTTGTTAGTATAAACAGATGAGATATGGAAAGATAAACTCCACTTAGGAAAATGAGGAGATTACACCCTGGTTACCCAATCCCTATCCAAATAGCTGTTTGAGCCATCTGGTTAAAATACTACACACCATCTATTATTGTTTGTGATACCTTCTTTGAGTCATGCTTTAGCAAGAGATAGATCGGGATCACAGTATTTCGAAAGCTAGTCTGCAAGTGACTGACACCTTCTTGTCTTCTGACTTGGGAGAGGAGGAAGTTTGACCAAAGCTGCAGTAGGAAAGTAGTTCACACACTTCTGCAATCTCCCGTATACATTTTACAAGATGTTTGACCAAAGCTGAAGTAGGAAAGTAGTATAGAATAGTTCACACACTTCCCCAGTCTCCCCTGTGCATTTTACTAGAGATTGATTGGGGTTCAGTCTCTAGTAAGATGCCCCAAAAGTAAATAATGCCTTTCTCCCACTGATACTATCAGGCAATTACATTTTTAACTTCTGTAATTAAATGCAGTGCTCTCCAAAATCCTTGGGAAGTCAGTTTATGGAAGGGGAGTCATCTCTGAAGGGAGGAGGAAGGAGGGAAAGGATCACGGAGCAAGGGATTTTTCTCAGTAAGACAGACTGGGATGGGCCTGCCCAATGGCTGTTTTTTTTTTCCTTTTTTTTTTTTTTTTTTTTTTTTGGTCACTTGTCTGTCCCAGACCAGTGGGGGATTTATGGTAGCAATTGATGACATTAGACACTCGGCCCTGAAAGATTAGAGAGAGAAGGGGGTGCCATAGTTAACCTTTGTATCCATTGCAGCTAATTTGTACAATGCTATCTCAAGCCACCTTAGATGTCAGTAGACTTTTTTTGGTTTTTTTTGGTTTTTTTTTGAGTCAGTGTCGCCCTTTTTGCCCAGCCTAGAGTGCAGTGGTGCCATCTCAGCTCACTGCAACCTTCATCTCCCAAGTTTAAGCGATTCTTGTGCCTCAGCCACCCGAGTAGCTAGAGATTACAGGCATGCACAACCACACCTGGCTAACTTTTTTGTATTTATACAGAACCGGGTTTTGCCATGTTGGCCAGGCTGGTCTCAAATTCCTGGCCTCCCAAAGTTCTGGGATTATGGGCGTGAGCCACCACGCCCAGCCAGATGTCAGTAGATCTTAATGTAAACCAGAGTTCTAAAGAGCATGCCAGTTTTAGCTGACCTTTATTAAGCACTTACTGTATACCCAAATTGGTATGGGATACTTTGACATAATTCTTTTCAAAGATTCAGTATTCTCAATTGATAATGGGCAAGATAGCAATATCTGTCTTACAGGATTGTTGAGGAAAATGTGAAGATTAGCTATGTTAGTTCCTGACACAGAGTAGGAATAAATGTGTAATAATGAGAAGATCAGTGTTTAAGAAACTAGAAGGCTGGGTGTGGTGGCTCACACCTGTCATCCCAGCACTTTGGGAGGCTGAGGGTGGCAGATCACCTGAGGTCAGGAGTTCAAGACTAGCCTGGCCAACATGGTGAAACCCTGTCTCTATTAAAAATACAAAAATTAATCGGGTGTGTTGGTGGGCACTTACAATCCCAGCTACTTGAGAGGCTGAGGCAGGAGAATCACTTGAACCCTGGAAGCGGAGATTGTGGTGAGCTGAAATCTTGCCACTACACTCCAGCCTGGACGACAAGAGTGAGAATCTGTCTCAAGAAAAGAAAAGAAACTAGAGAGATATAAACAAAAGTTGATTGTTAGACTGAGGAAGGATTCATTCATTTATTCAGACATTTCCTATTTTATGCCAAGGCATTGCACTGGGTCTTGGGAGTATAGAAGTAAATAGAGGCTGGGCGCAGTGGCTCATGCCTATAATCCCAGCACTTTGGGAGGCCGAGGCAGGTGGATCACTAGGCCAGGAGATCAAGACCATCCTGGCTAACACGGTGAAACCCCGTCTCTACTAAAAATACAAAAAATTAGGCGGGCGTGGTCGTGGGCGCCTGCAGTCCCAGCTGCTCGGGAGGCTGAGGCAGGAGAATGGTGTGAACCCGGGAGGCGCAGCTTGCAGTGAGCCGAGATCACGCCACTGCATCCCAACCTGGGCGACAGAGCAAGACTCCGTCTCAAAAAGAAAAATAGAAGTAAATAGATTCCCTCCTCAAAAGAAAGTTCCTTTTAAAAGTGAATTATGGAGCTGGGCACATTGGTTCACACCTGTAATCTCACCACTTTGGGAGGCTGAAGTGGGAGGATCACCTGAGGCAAGGAGGTTCAAGACCAGGCTGAGCAACATAGTGGGACCCCACCAATCTAGCCCCCAAAAAAACAAAAAAAAAAAAGGTGGGTATGGTGGTACGTGCCTGTAGTCCTAGCTACTTGGGAGGCTGAGGCAGAAGGAGTACTTGAGCCCAGGAGCAGATGGTTACAGTGAGCTATGATCATGCTACTGTACTCCAGAGTGAGTGACAGAGAGACCCTGTCTGTAAAAAATATAAAAAATTTTAGGCTGGGCGTGGTGCCTCATACCTATAGTCCCAGCACTTTGGGATGCCAAGGTGGATGCATCACCTGAGGTCAGGAGTTCGAGACCAGCCTGGCCAACATGGTGAAACCCTGTCGGTACTAAAAATACAAAAATTAGCTGGGCGTGGTAGCATGTGCCTGTAATCCCAGCTACTCGGGAGGCTGAGGTAGGAGAATCACTTGAACCCAGGAGGCAGAGGTTGCAGTGGGCCGAGATCACACCATTGTACTCCAGCCTGGGCGACAGAGCGAGACTCCATCTCTAAAAATAAAAATAAAAAATTGTAGAAAAAGAATTATAATTGGAGTTCTGAAGAAATTAGTAGGAAGTTGAAGCCTGTGACTGATGTTAAGTCTAACATTCCTCTGCTTCTCTGTTTTACCTCTCTTCCAGAAATGCTGATAGCCAAACATTATTTTATTGCTGAGCAGAGAATTGGTAGCAAAGCTAATGGAATGTCTCCAGCCAAAACTGCAATATTCTTTCTCTCTGAACAAAGCTGGCATTGCAAAACTTAGGTTGGCACTGAAATGGCAATGAATATTGGCTTGAGACATACTTAGCATTTGACTTATGTTGAATCCAGCCCTTCCAGTGTAAATTGGAATAGTCCTTTCGAAATGCATTTTGGCACTGTGGGTCAAGAACTTTAAAAATAATGTATATTCTTTGGCTCCAAGTTTTACCTAGATCCAGAAGAAATCCTAAATAGAGGCAAACTTTATAAATAGTAGTGTTCATCATAGTGCTATTTTAATAGTGAAAATTGGAAGCAGCCGTAACATCTATATGTAAATTGTTGTAGCCAGTTAGAGTATTGTATAACCATGGTTATGAAGAGTGTATTAAGTTTATGAAGAGTTTGAAGGGAGTATTTCGTAAAATAATGTGCAAAATTATAAATATCTGAAAGAGAGGAGTCTCACACAGGTAAGAGAAAATAGAGAAGGCTCCTCAAACCTTGACTTGTATGTAGTGATGTGAGAGGGTGGGGTGGAAAAGTTGGTTTTCCAGCCAGGAGAGAAAACACCAGAAGATTCCTGTAAAGATCAAAGGCAGAGATGAATGGATTTTCCTCAGCATGCATACAGTCTAGAATGGAGAAGAAAAGACCATTAGACAGTTTCCCCTATAATAATTTTATTTAATTGTAAAAGAGGTTGAATCAAGCCCTAAACCTTTCCTTGGAGTGTGGGGAACTAGAAGGAAATTTGTAAATGTAAACCAGTTGTATTACTAATGGTTGGAACCACCACAGGGTAGCCTCTCACGCTACCCCATTTCTAATCTTTCTCTAATATTTAAACTTTACCAGCCGGGTGCGGTGACTCACGCCTATAATCCCAGCACTTTGGGAGGCCGAGGCGGGCGGATCACCTGAGGTCGGGAGTTCGAGACCAGCCTGACCAACATGGAGAAACCCGGTGTGCACTAAAAATGCAAAATTAGCGGGGCGTGGTGGCGCATGCCTGTAATGCCAGCTACGCGGGAGGCTGAGGCAGGAGAATCACTTGAACCCGGGAGGTGGAGGTTGTGGTGAGCCAAGATCGCGCCATCGCGCTCCAGCCTGGGCAACAAAGAGCGAAACTCTGTCTCCAAACATATAAATGAATAAATAAACTTTACCTAACTTATACTAGGTTTAAAAACACACTCACACACACACAAAAACTGATAGAAAACCCAGGTAACCAACCCTGTCTGAGTTATGAATGCAACTGTTTACAGACAGTGAATGCCAAATGAGTTCAGCACACTAGCTTACTTTGGCTTTTTTAAGAGATCACTGGAAAACGATCCTGCTGACTAGCAGTGAGGTCAGGTAGTTCTCACACAATGCATTTAATGTGATGAAATAGTGTTTTTACCTTCATCTGGCAGTCTATTTCCACTTTTTCCCATTCTTTTTACTTTTTTAAAGCCACTCAAATTTAGCAATGAGGGATTATATATCTCTTGTTCTTTTTAGATAGATTTACTTTACCATACATAAAAATTTCTCACAAAGGCAAATAGCTTACCTCGTTCTTTGTAAATAACACCATAATTCCATTTGCTTAAGCCTATGAGTACACCTTAATATTTCTCTTCCACCCCCACATGTTTAATCTATCACCTGATCCTTTTGGCCCTACCTCTAAAATAAACCCCAAATATGTCCATTTTCTGTTTCACTGCTGTCATTCTATTCTATGCCATCATTCTCTTTTCCCTGGACTTCATCTATATAATCTTGCTGGTGTCTTGCTGTCTTTCATGCCTTCTACAATTACTTCATATGCAAACAGGAATGACTTACTTTAAAATGTGCATATGATCATGTCACATGTCACTGGCACTAAATTTAGAATGAAGGGTCTGGGTTAGTGATTCTCATCCCTCTCTGTACATTCTTTTTTTTTTTTTTTTTTTTTTTTGAGACAGAGTTTTGCTCTTGTTGCCCAGGCTGGAGTGCAGTGGTACGATCTCAGCTCACTGCAAACTCTGCCTCCCGGGTTCAAGTGATTCTCCTGCCTCAGCCTCCTGAGTAGCTGGGATTACAGGTGCCCACCACCATGCCTGGCTAATTTTTGTATTTTTAGTAGAGACGGGGTTTCACCATGTTGGCCAGGCTGGTCTCGAACTCCTGACCTCAGGTGATCTGCCCACCTCGGCCTCCCAAAGTGCTGGGATTACAGGCATGAGCCACCACGCCCGGCCTCTTTTTTTTTTTTTTTTGAGATGGAGTCTCACTCTGTCTGTCACCTGGGCTGGAGTGCAGTGGTGCGATCTTGGCTCACCGCAACCACCTCCGCCCCCCGGGTTCAAGCAGTTTTCCTGCCTCAGCTTCCCCAGTAGCTGGGATTACAGGCACCCGCCACTATGCCCAGCTAATTTTTTGTATTTTTAGTAGAGACGGGGTTTCACCAGGCTGGTCACAAATTCCTAACCTCGTGATTCGCCCCCCTCGGTCTCCCAAAGTGCTGGGATTACAGGTGTGAGCCACCATGCCCAGCCCCTATCTGTACATTCTCATCACCTGTGTTAAGTTCCCTTTCCCTATAGGAAATAAACATGACCTTTTCCTAGGCACTACCTTCAGAGAATCTGGTTAAATTGTTTGGATTGGAGGGTCCAGACATCTGTAGGGTTTTAATTTGTTTTGAGTTTTTTTTTTTATTTTTTTGAAACAGAGTCTCACTCCGTCTCCCAGGCTAGAGCACAGTGGTGCTATCTCAGCTCACTGCTTTCTCAGCTCACTGCAACCTCCGTCTCCCGGGTTCAAGCGATTCTCCTGCCTCAGCCTCCTGAGTAGCTGGGATCACAGGCGCACACCACCGTGCCCAGCTAATTTTTGTATTTTTAGTAGAGATGGGGTTTCACCATGTTGGTCAGTCTGGTCTCGAACTCCTGACCTCATGATCTGCCCACCTCAGCCTCCCAAAGTGCTGGGATTACAGGCGTGATCCACCACGCCCAGCTTGTTTTTGTTTTTTTTAAGCAGAGAACAGGGTCTTGCTATGTTGTTCAGGATGGTCTTGAACTTCTGGGCCCAAGTGATCCTCTTACCTTGGCCTCCCAGAATGCTGGGATTACAGGTAATGAGCCACTGCACCCGGCTTGTAGCATTTTTTAAAAAGTTCCTTCATACAGGCCCACCATGGTGGCTCATGCTTTGGGAGGCTGAGGTGGGAGGATTGCTTGAGGCCAGGAGTTTGAGACCAGCCTGTTCAACATAGTGAAATCTTCATCTCTACAAAAAAAAAAAAAAAAGAAAAGAAAGAAAGAAAAAAGAAAGAAAGAAAAATAGGGCTCATATGGTTCTTATACAGGTAAAATGGAAAAATATTGCCTGAAATGAATGATCTTTCCCCTGCCTACTTCTCAGACCTTATCTGTCAACTTGCCAAGCTGGTTCTGTCTCCAATGTTTCCTCCCTTCTTGTTTCCTCCCTCCTTCAAGTTTTGTTTTACTTTTTAAATAAACTTGTCATTAGGAGAGATTTAGATTAACAGGAAATTGTGAAGATAATATAGAAAATTCCTAAAAATCTCATGCTGAATGTTTCTTATTAACACCTTGCATTATTAGTATGGTACACTTGTCAAAATTGATGAACCAATATTGATACACTATTATTAACAAAAGTCCTTTCTTTATTCTGATTCTCTTAGTTTTTACCTGATACTCTTTTTGTGTTCCAGGATCCCATTTAGGGTACTACATGCCATTTAGTAGTCACATCTTAGGTTCCTCTGGGCTGTGACAGTTTCTTGAGCTTTTATTGTTTTTGGTGACCTTGACAGTTTTCAGGAGTACCAGTCAGGTATTTTGTAGAATATTTCTCAATTGATATTTGCCTAATGTTTCTCTCATAATTGGGGCTGGGATTATGGGTTTTTGGCAGGAAGATTACAGAGGTAAAGCACGATTTTCACTACATCAAATCAAAGGTGCTCTCAGCATGCTTTATCACTGTCGATGTTTTGGCCTTGATCACCTAGCTGCAGTAGCGTTGGTCAGGTTTCTCCACTGTTAATCCCCCTGCCCTGTTTCCGTTCTGTACTCTTTGGAAGGAAGTCATCATGCCTAGCCCATCCTGGGAAGGAATGAAAAGTTATGTTCTACTTCCTTGAAGGTAAAGGTAAAATATCTATATAAGTTACTTGGAATTCTTCTGCACAGGATATTTTTCTATTCTCCCCAGTTTATTTATTCAGCCATGTATTTATATCATGCGTATTTATTTTATTGCTAAAATTGTTCGAGCTTTAGTCACTGGGATCTTTTTCAGTTGACTCCTCTATCCTTTGTTTTTCTTGGTAGAGATGAGATCTTGCTGTGTTGCCCAGGCTAGTATTGAACTCCTGGCCTCAAGCAGTCCTCCCACCTTGGCTTCCCAAAGTGTTAGGATTACAGGCATGAGCCACCACTCCCAGCCTCCTTTATCCTTTTGACCACAAGATTCTCTAGGCACATCTTATATATTTCCGGCCCCAGTCCTAGAATCAGCCACTTCTCCAAGGAGCCCTGATTCTTTTTATTAGAGAATGGTATTAGAAACCAAGTTCTAGGCATTGGGTGTGCTTGCTACTGGGATGTTGTGGCTTGTAGGACCTTTCAGCTGACTGAGCAAGGGATGTACATGTATGTATACTAAACTAAGTTTTTCTGTATGCAGTCATCTGTATCTATATTAAGCTAAACATGAGTTGATGTTTCCAATTCTATCCATTACCACTCTATCCATTCTAGCCTTCTTCCTTTGGTTATCTGTCACCTCTCACTTCTACAGACAGAAAACTGGCTTTCATCATTCACCATCTTTTTACTTAATTGTTCAAATCTGGGATACATATGCAGATATAGTGGCTTCAGAATACGTATTCCCATGGAGAAAAACCTTATCAAGTAGAGAACAGTGCTTAAGTGTAGTTCCTGTTGCCTTTAGTCTTATAGACTTCATTTCCAAAGTTTCTTAGCACCCCCCTTCCCCCTTTGGTGAGGTTGTTTCACATATTTTCTAGACAATTAGATTCTTTTGTCAAAGTCTGTGTTCCATCCGGAGAGCCTCTGATCTCTTAAATGATTTTTTAAATTTACATACATTAAGGTTCACTCTGCTGTAAAGGTCTGTGGGTTTTTATCTGTCTCACAGTTTTTGCATATGTTGGCCTTCTGCCTGGAATACTCTTCCCAGATATTTCCCCATGACTGGCCCCTTATCTTTCATTCAGATCTCTGCTCAAATATTATCTCCTTGAGGAAGCTTTCCTTGAGCACCCAATCTAAAGGAATCTTCTAGAACAAAATGAAAATTTTGTTAGTGTATTTTCTTCAGTATGTGTGGTTTGTTTTGACCAGTCTCCATTTACTAGGATGAAAATTTAAACAGGGCAGGGACTGTATCTGTATCCTGGATATATAGTGAATGTATGTTGATATATGAATGAATAATCCTGTCCCAGGTGTGTCCAGCATCACTTATTTCTAGGGCATAGTTTTAGTACTGATCAGTAGTAATTGAAAGCAGGCTTGTTCAGTTGGGTTTCCAGCTCACCCTGCTTCACTACTTAAAAAGTGTTTTGGTTATAAATTAGGTTAAGTGTTTCAGTATATTAAAGATGGCAGTCACTCTGTTCTCTCCTGCAATGTTTATAACCATTTATTTAAGGTTATTATTATTATTATTGAGATGAGGTCTCTCTGTTGCCCAAGTTGGAGTGCAGTGGCGCAGTTTACTGCAGTCTTGACCTCCTCAGGCTCAGGTGATCCTGAATAGATGATCCTTCTTGAGTAGCTGGGACTACAGGCGCACCACCACACCCGGCTAATTTTTTTTGTATTTTTTATAGAGATGGAGTTTCTCTATATTGGCCAGGCTGGTCTTAACTCCTGGGCTGAAGTGATCCACCCACCTTGGCTTCCCACAGTGCTAGGATTGCAGGTGTGAGCCACTGTGCGTAGCCTAAAAGTTACTTTAGTGAGGGATTTATAATCTCTATTCCTACTTAGAATTACATATCAATACCAGCCGGGCACGGTGGCTCACGCCTGTAATCCCAACACTTTGGGAGGCCGAGGCGGGTGGATCACCTGAGGTGAGGAGTTCGAGACCAGCCTGGTGAAACCTCGTCCCTACTAAAAATACAAAAACTAGCCAGGCGTGGTGGCAGCCACCTGTAATCCCAGCTACTTGGGGAGCCAAGGCAGGAGAATCACTTGAACCCAGGAGGCGCAGGTTGCAGTGAGCCGAGACCGTGCCATTGCACGCCAGCCTGGGGGACAAGAGCGAGACTTCGTCTAAAAAAAAAAAAAAAGAATTACTATCAATACCACGGATTTCCCAGCTCGGCTGTACATTAGAATCAGCTGAGGAGCTTTAAGAACAAACACTGCTTCCTGAGCTCTTTCCTGACTTACTGATTTTCAGGAAAATTCTACAAATTTGTAATGTTTTAACAACCAGCTTGGCATCTAGTCAGAACATTTGAAGTTAAAAAACCCCAGTAACCAGGTATGGTGGCTCACGTGTATAATCCCAACACATTGGGAGGCCAAGGCGGGAGGATCGCTTGAGCCCAGGAGTTCAAGGCCAGCCTGGGCAACATGGTGAAATCCTGTCTCTACCCAAGAAAAATAGAAAAATTAGCCAAGTGTGGTGGCGCACACCTGTGGTTCCAGCTGCTCGGAGGCTGAGATGGGAGGATCATTTGAGAGCGGGAGACAGAGGTTGCAAGTGAGCCAAGATCGTTCCACTGCACTCCAGCCTGGACAACAGAGCCAGACAGAACCTGTCTTAAAAAAACAAAGCAAAACAAAAAAAACAGTGTATTAATGTAAAGTGAGATTTTGTGATAATATCTAGAGGATTTCAGCTTATAGCTATGATGACTGAAGCTTATACAAAAAGGTCCTTTTAACTTGGACTGATTCTTCTACGATTTAAGCCCATAGTGTGTGCCTGGTACTAGTGAATATTACAGTGAATTGTTCCCTGCTCTCAGAGAACTTACATTACACCCTCTGAGAAGGCAATAGAATGAATGTAAATAATCATAAGATAGGAAACAATAGGCACATAAGAGACGTAGAAAACAATTTTGGTATTTAGAGGAGGGAGCAGTCATTTGCACACTGGGGAAGATGGTAAGATTAGAGTCCCTTTTTTTTTTTTTTTTTTTTTTTGAGATGGAGTCTCGCTCTGTCACCTAGGCTGGAGGGCATTGGCATGATCTCGGCTCACCACAACCTCTGCCTCCTGGGTTCAAGCGATTCCCCCACCACAGCCTCCCGAGAGTATCTGGGACTACAGGCACGCAGCACCACCATGCTGAACTAATTTTTTTTTTTTTTTTTTTTTTTGAGATGGAGTCTTCCTCTGTCACCCAGGCTGGAGTGCAGTGGCGCTATCTCAGCTCACTGCAAGCTCCACCTCCCTTGTTCACGCCATTCTCCTGCCTCAGCCTCCTGAGTAGCTGGGACTACAGGCGCCCACCACCATGCCCGGCTAATTTTTTGTATTTTTAGTGAGACGGGGTTTCACCATGTTAGCCAGGATGGTCTCGATCTCCTGACTTCGTGATCCGCCCGCCTCGGCCTCCCAAAGTGCTGAGATTACAGGCGTGAGCCACCGTGCCCGGCCTTTTTTTTTTTTTTTTTTAAGTTGAGGCGGGGTTTCACTGTGTTAGCCAGGATGGTCTGGATCTCCTGACCTCATGATCTGACCGCCTCGGCCTCCCAAAGTGCTGAGATTACAGGCATGAGCCACCGTGCCCGGCCTTTTTTTTTTTTTTTTTTTTAAGTAGAGGTGGGGTTTTAACCATGTTGGCCAGGCTGGTCTCTAACTCCTGACCTCATGTGATCCGCCCACCTCAGCCTCCCAAAGTGCTGGGATTACAGGCGTGAGCCACCATGCCTGGCCTAGAGTCCAATTCTTAAAGAGAATCCACAGCGAGAAGGAGGAACCCTGGACATCCCAGTCCTTTAGTGGGTTGTAATGTAGGACACTGAAAGTTAAGGGGGTCCTATTAGAAGCCAGAAGGGAATAGGCAAATGTGAAGAGTCCTGTAATGGTCAGGACCTAAAATCCAGACTCAGAACTGTCAAAGCCAGTGGTTCTTAAAGGAACTTTTCTATTTCAGCATTTTAAACATTAACATTTTTTATTGCAAGTTTTTGTACTACATGTGTAATTATAAAAAATGAAAACTTGTATACCTAAAAATCCGAATTTCAGTTTTTGAATTTTGTTTCATTTTTTTAAGCTCTGGAAAAGAAATGCATTCCACATTAAACCCTTCACATTGCACATAAAGGAAACTAAATTCAGAGTTAAAATGTGCCTGTCCGTGGCCATGGGGTGCAGAATTAGGCAAGAACTTCAGTTTTCAGACTCATCAGTCCATACTACTACATTCTTGTCAGGTTGAGATCAGTCTCTTTGCCCTGAAGCTTACTGGTTGTTTAGAGGAGTTTCTTGAGGATAGAGACTACATCTTATTCATTTTCTGTCCCTCCAACATAGTAAGTTAGTGCTGTACAGAATAGGCATGTAGCACACATTTGTCAAATGAAAGGATGGATGGATTAGATGGATGGTTTTGGCTTTTATATTAGACTTTGAAGGAATGCTAGAGTTTAGCTCTGTGGAAATTCTGGGCATGAGATGTATACATGAACTGTTAGATTTGCTGAATATTGGACATCTGAACGGAAATAGTGAGAAAATACTGTAACTGCAGTGGCTCACACCTATAATCCCAGCACTTTGGGAGGCCAAGGCAAGAGGATTGCTTGAGCCCAGGAGTTGGAGACCAGCCTGGGGAATATAGAGAGATCCCGTCTTTACAAAAAACATCCAAAATTTAGCTGGGTGTGGTGGTGCACACCTGCAGTGCCAGCTACTCAGGAGGCTGAGGCGGGAGGATCGCTTCAGTCTGGGAAGTTGAGACTGCAGTGAGCAGTCATTGCGCTATTGCACTCCAAACTGGATGACAGAGCAAGACCCTGTCTCGAAAAAAAAGTGGCGGGGGGTAGGGGGGTCGGTATGTTAGGTTTTACACAGTTCATATTATAAACTAGGTTAATACCAGTATATAAAATGAAATAAGTTAATGAAAGGCATGACGTTTTACAGGAAAGGTGCATTACATCATTATGTAGAGGTTGAGTATTCCTTATCTAAAATGCTTGGAACCACAAGTGTTTCAGATTTGGATTGTTTTGAGAATTTGGAATATTTACGTTTTACTGAATGAGCATCTCAAATCTGAAATGTTCCACTATGCATTTCCTTTGAGACATGTCAGCACTCAAAATGTTTCAAAAAATGTTGGAGCATTTTAGGTTTCAGATTTGGGATGCTCAACCTGTACTATCAACAGAATAGCTGTTTAGCATTAAATAATATTTTGCTTAGCCCACAGGTTGAAAAATCTTTAATTTTTTAAACTTGAATTTGAGAGGAGAATATTGATCTTAGTCAGTACTCCTCTTAATTGAAAGCCTTGAAGTTTTAAAAGGAATTATCATTTTTTTAGTTCTTTACGCATCTAGAACAGTCAGCTGACTGTATAAATTCTGAATCGGTGAAGTTTTACCATACTTTAACACTCACTTTTAACATTTTTTAGTGTATTTTCCTAGCAGTATATGGCGTAAAAATACTCACACGTATACTGTTGGTTTTTCTCTAAGTAACTTGTTTTCATCCTTCTTTTCAGGATCTCACTGGCATCGAATCTATGGATCAGTGTCGCCATACCTTGGAACAGCATAACTGGAACATAGAGGTATAATAGGATGTGTTCTGAGCTTATTTCTTTTTCTCTGGTCTGATTAAGAGTCAAAACCGTATGTTTTTCCATAGCAGGAATCTTTTCAGTAGATTTTTTTCAGAATTATGACTCTAAAAATAAAAGTGCAGGAAGGTAAAGAATGTGAGAAAGTTTATAAAATCATAGAAAAATTTGTGACTAAATCCCTCAATATAGTGCCCCACCCCCTACTGTTTGTTAGTATCTTGTTGGGAAAACAATTGGTTTTTGTATATTTAGTTTTTAACCAGATGTCTTGATGTGAACCTTCTTCTTACATATTTTATAGTTTATTCTTTGGGGTTGTCTAGGTAGTCATGTTCTCTGCAACTCTTCTCCTTGACCATTGAATTAGCAAGAACTTTAAAACACTGTCAGTTGATAATGGTAATAGCATTTTGTCCTCACTATAATGCCTCTGATTTTTTTTTTTTGAGACAAAGTCTCGCTCCGTCTCCCAGGCTAGAGTGCAGTGGCGTGCTCTCAGCTCACTGCAACCTCTGCCTCCCAAGTTCAAGCGATTCTCCTACCTCAGCCCCCTGAGTAGCTGGGATTACAGGCAGACACCACTGCACCCGGCTAATTTGTATTTTTAGTAGAGACGGGGTTTCACCATGTTGCCTAGGCTGGTCTTGAACTCCTGACCTCAGATGATCCGCCCCGCTCAGCCTTCCAAAGTGCTGGGATTACAGGCGTGAGCCACCGCGCCCGGCCATGCCTCTGATTTTTTATTAGCAAGTGTGATGTTAGTTGTTACTTTGAGATAGATCTCCAAGGATGTAAGCTCCCTAAGAGCAGAGATTTTTTTGTTTTGTTTTAACTGCTGTATTCCCAGCATATAACATGGAAATAAATATCTGTTGGTTTTTCCCTTCCATTCTTAGTATATTAATAGTTTATACTGAGTGGATGTTGAATTTTGTCAAAACACCCTCTTGATCCCAAATTACTGTTTTAATTATTATATGCTATTTTAAAAGGGTGCTGGATTCCTAAAAACGTGTTCCCTTTTTTTTTCCAGTTTTTTTTTTTAATAAAATGTATTCCTAATATGATTTCGTTATTCAACACATTTTTGAGCAATTAAACTCTAGGCTCTGGCATTATATTAGTGAACAAAAGTAAGTCCTTACTCTTTTTTAATTTTTTTAAGACGGGGTCTTGCTCTGTCACCTGGGCTGGAATGCATTGGCACAAGCATACCTCACTACAGCCTTTGACTTCTGGGCTCAAGCAATTTTCCTGCCCTAGCCTCCCAAATAGCTGGGACTACAAACATGTAACACCATGCCCAGCTGATTTTTAATTTTTTTGTGGAGACGAGGTCTTGCTGTGTTGCCCAAGCTGGTCTTGAATTCCTGGGCTCAAGCAATCCTCCTGCCTCAGCTTCCCAAAGTACTGGGATTACATGTGTGAGCCACCACATCCAGCCAAGTCCCTACTCTTATGGAACTTAATTCTAGAGAATTTCAGTTTGTAATAAATGACCGGAGGGGAACATCACACACGGGGCCTCTCGGGGGGTGGGGGGCTGGGGGGCTAGGGGAGGGATAGCATTAGGAGAAATACCTAATGTAGATGACGGGTTGATGGGTGCAGCAAACCACCATGGCATGTGTATACCTATGTAACAAACCTGCACATTCCGTACATGTATCCCAGAACTTAAAGTATAATTTAAAAAAATAAATAAATGACAAATGAGATGAGCATAGGAAATGGAACAGAGGATCTGGAGAGTTTTGCTTTTTGTTTTTTTATCTTTATTTATTTTTATTTTTTTGAGATGGAGTTTTGCTCTTGTTGCCCAGGCTGGAGTGCAGTGGTGTGATCTTGGCTCACTGCAACCTCCGCCTCCCGGGTTCAAGCAATTCTCCTGCCTCAGTCTCCTGAGTAGCTGGGATTATAGGTGTGCACCACCACGCCCGGCTAATTTTTTGTATTTTTAGTAGAGACGAGGTTTCACCATATTGGCCAGGCTGGTCTTGATCTCCTGACCTTGTGATCCACCCACCTCCGCCTCCCAAGGTGCTAGGATTACAGGCATGAGCCACCACACCTGGCCTTGTTTTTTTCTTTCTAAGAGACAGGGTTGGGCCGGGCGCGGTGGCTCACGCCTGTAATCCCAGCACTTTGGGAGGCCAAGGCAGGCAGATCACGAGGTCAGGAGAACGAGATCATCCTGGCTAACACAATGAAACCCTGTCTCTACTAAAAATATAAAAAATTAGCCAGGTGTGGTGGTGGGCGCCTGTAGTCCCAGCTACTCGGGAGGCTGAGGCAGGAGAATGACGTGAACTCGGGAGGCAGAGCTTGCAGTGAGCTGAGAACATGCCACTGCACTCCAGCCTGGGGGACAGAGTGAGACTCTGTCTCAAAAAAAAAAAGGGAGAGAGAGAGACAGGGTCTTACTGTGTCACCCAAGCTGGAGTGCAGGTTTGATCATAGCTCACTGCAGTTGAACTCCTGGGCTCAAGCATTCCTCTGACCTCAGCTTCAAGTAGATGGGACTACAGGCCCACGCTACCACACCGGGCCCTAGCGTTCAAGCTCTTGTGTGAATATGTGTTTTCATTTCCTTTGGGTCTATACCTAGGAATGGACTTTGCTGAGTCATATGGTGACACTATGTTTAACCTTTTGAAGAGCTCCCAGACTGTTTTCAAAGTGGTTATACCATTTTAAATTCCCAACAGCGTTGTAGGAAGGTCTGAATTTCTCCACACCCTCACCAACACTTGTTAATATTTGTCTTCTAGATCATACTCACCCTAGTGATCTAGGGTGGTTTTGATTTGCATTTCCCTAGTGGCTAAAATGATGTTGAATATTTTTTCATATTCTTATTGAACATTTGCATATCTTCTTTGCAAAAATGTCTATTCAAGTCCTTTGCCAGTTCTTAAATTTGGTTATCTTTTTCATGTTGAGCTGTGAAAGTTTTTTTTTTTTTTTGAGATGAAGTTTCACTCTGTGGCACAGGCTAGAGTGCAGAGGCGTGATCACGGCTCACTGCAACCTCCACGTCCCAGGTTCAAATAATTTTCCTGCCTCAGCCTCCTGAGTAGCTGGGACTACAGGTGTCCCATGCCCGGCTAATTTTTGTATTTTTAGTAGAGGCGAGGTTTCTCCATGTTGGCCAGGCTGGTGTTGAACTCCTGGCCTCAAGTGATCCACCCGCCTTGGCCTCCCAAATTCCTGGAATTACAGGCGTAAGCACTGCGTCTGGCCAGTTTATGTTTTTTTGAGACAGGATTTCTCTCTGTTGCCCAGGCTGGAGTACAGTGGTACTATTATGGCTAACTGCAGCCTTGACCTCCCAGACTCAAGTGATCCTTTCACTTCAGCCTCCTGAGTAGCTAGGACTACAAGCACACACCACCACATCCAGCTAATATTTTATTTTTTTATTTTTTGTACAGATGGGGTCTCGCTGTATTGACCAGGCTGGTCTTAAACTCCTGGGCTCCAGTGATTCTCCCAGCTTGTCTTCCCAAAGTGTTGGGATTCCAGACGTGAGCCACCATGCCTGGTGCTTATCTGATATTTAATTTGCAAATGTTTTCTCCCTTTCTGCGAGTTATCTTTTTACTCTCTTGATAGTGGTTTGTGGTTTTGTTGTTGTTGTTGTTGTTGTTTGTATTTTTAGTAGTGTTGGCCAGGATGGTCTTGGTCTCTTGACCTTGTGATCCGCCCGCCTCGGCCTCCCAAAGTGCTGGGATTACAGGTGTGAGCCACTGTGCCCGGCCTGTTTTCTTTTTTTTATTTATTTTTATTTATTTTATTTTTTTTGAGAGATGGAGTCTTGGTTTGTTGCCCAGGCTGGAGTGCAGTGGCCTGATCATAGCTCACTGTAACCTTGAAGTCCTGGGCTCAAGAAGCCTTCCTGCCTCAGCCTCCCTGACACCTCAGACTACAGGTACATGCTATCTTGCCGCATTCATGATAGTGTAATTTGATGCAGAAAAGTTTTTCGTTTTGATGAAGTCCAATTTATCTACTTTTTTCTTTTGTCGCGTGTGCTTTTGTTGTCGTATCTAAGATACTTTTGCTTAATCTGAGGTTGGGAAGATTTATACCCTTGTTTTAAGAGTTTTATAATTTCAGCTTTTACATTTAGGTTTTTGATGTATTTGATGTATTTGTAGTTAATTTTTATGTATAGTGTGATCTAGGGGTTAATCCACTTTCTTTTGCATGTGGATATCCAATTATCCCAGCATCATTTGTTGAAAGATTATTCTTTCCTCGTTGAATTGTAAAACTAGGGGACTACCTGATATTAGCCAAATTTCAAAGTTTGAAGCTAGTAATTGAGTTCAGAGGGCACACTGCCCTCCTAAAGACCACCTTCACTTCTGAAACCACCTGCAGTTTCAGAGTGTCGCAAAACCGTCTTCAGATTTGCTAATTCACTAGAACTCACTGAAAGTTGTTATAGTCATGGTTATAGTTTATTATAGGGAACATATAGATTAAAAGCAGCTAAAGGAAGAGACAAATAGGGCAGAGTTGGCCGGGTGTGGTGGCTCACGCCTGTAATCCCAGCCCTTTCGGAGGCCAAGGTGGGTGGATCACGAGGTCGGGAATTTAAGACCATTCTGGCCAACATCGTGAAACCCCATCGCTACTAAAAATACAAAAATTAGCTGTGTGTGGCGGTGCGTGCCTGTAATCCCAGTTACTTGGAGGATGAGGTGGGAGAATTGCTTGAACCTGGGAGGGGGAAGTTGCAGTGAGCCGAGATTGTACCACTGCACTCCAGCCTGGTGACAGAGCTAGACTCCGTCTCAAAAAAAGAAAAAAAAAGAAAAAAAGGGGGCAGAGTCTAAAAGGATTTTGGACATGAAGCTTGCATACTACGCTCCTGCAGAGTCGGGACACATTACCTTCTTGGCATAGATGTATAACAATATGCATGAAGTATAGTAGCCCCCTCCACCCACAGTTTCACATTCTGTGGTTTCAGTTACTAGTAGGCAACTGTGGTTTGAAAATATTAAGTGGAAGATTCCAGAAATAAACAATTCATAAGTTTTAAAATGCATGCTGTTCTGAGAAACATGATGAAATCTCACTCTGTCCCATTCTACCTTACCCGGAACGTGAATTATCCATTTGTCCAGCGTCTCCATACTGTATACAAGACCCACCTGTTAGTCAGTTAGTAGCCGTTATCAGATCAACTGTTGTGCCATTACAGTACTTTTGTTCAGGTTCCCCTATTTTACTTAATATTGGCCCCAAAGCACAGGAGTAGTGATGCTGGCAACTCAGCTATGCTAGAGAGAAGCCAGGAAATGTGTCCTTTAAGTGAAAAGGTTAAAGTTCCTGGCCAGCAGTGGCTCATGCCTGTAATCCCAGCACTTTGGGAGGCCGAGGCAGGTAGATCATGAGGTGAGGAGTTCAAGACCAGCCTGGCCAAGATGGTGAAACCCCGTCTCTACTAAAAATACAAAAATTAGCTGGGCACAGTGGCAGGAGCCTGTAATCCCAGCTACTCGGGAGGCTGAGGCAGGAGAATCGCTTGAACCTGGGGGCGCGGAGGTTGCAGTGAGCTGAGATCATGCCACTGCACTCCAGCCTGGGCAACAGAATAAGACTCCATCTCAAGAAAAAAAAAAAAAAAGGTTAAAGTTCCTGACTTAATGAGGAAATAAAAAAATTATATGCTGAAGTTGCTAAGATCTAGCTTGTGTTTGTGAAATTGTGAAGAAAGAAAAAGAAATTCATAGTAGTTTTATGGTCACACTTCTGCAAAAATTGCAGCCACAGTGCATGATAAGTGCATAGTTAAGATGGAAAAGGCATTTTTTGAGTGGAAGACATGAAGAGAAATAGCTTCCAATGACAGCATTCAAGTTCGGTACTATACATGGTTTCAGGAATCTACTAGAGGTCTTGGAACATATCCCTGTGGATAAGAAGGGACTACTGTATTGCCAACCAGGGAAGCTTCAGTGCTTCCAGAGAATTTATTAGGGCATCATTACATAGGCACGATTGATTTGTTTGGCTGCCCACATGGTTGAACTCAGTCTTCAAGTCAACTGATACCAAGTTGTCCAAAGTTCCCCACCCTAAACCACATGGTTGGTCTTTCTGGCATGGCCGGCTTTCACCCTAAGACTACTGGGTGTTGCAGCTGCAACCTAAAATCTAGTAACAAAGACATGCTTATCAGGTCTGACATAGATTACCTCCCAAAAGGGAAAGATCAGACATCTCTTTGGGTAAGGTCAACTTTTTTTTACTACATTGAGACAAATATCTATTTCAAGGACAGAGTTAAGGAGGGAATGAATTTTTTAAACTGAATATCAGTAGTCTGACAGGAGTTGTATTAGGATCTTTATGTGTGGCCAACTCATTAAATTTTCAGATTAACTCAGAAATATTGTTCCTTTATTTTGCACATGAGGAAACTGAGGCTCATATGTTTTTTTCTTCTTTATTTTTTATTTTTAGAGACAGGGTCTCGTTTCATTGCCCTGGCTGGTCTCGAATTTCTGGTCTCTGGGCTCAAGCAATCCTCTCACCTCAGCCTCCCAAAGTGTTAGGATTACAGGTTTGAGCCACCGCGCCTGACCTGAGGCTCATACATTGAGCAACTTTTCAGAGAGATGGAGCTTGGATCAGACCGAAGTTTCTCTGCTGCAAGCCCCTTCATCAGATGCCACTCATCAGGACTGCTTCACTGCATAACTCCAGGGGTACTGCCTACATTGTATTCTCTGAGGATGGCTTTTCTTGGGATTGTACAGTGAAGCACTTTATATCCCAGCCACCCTAAATAATACATGCCATCTGAATCCAGGCAGTACGCTTGCTGCATAAATGTAGCTTCCAGACAAGTTTCCTCGTCTCCTCTACCATGGATGCATTCTGGAGTGACAACTCCAGTTGCCTCCAAGTACAGCCGGTTAACAGGCCCATGAAGGTGCACTCCTCAGTGACCTTTTGGTGTATTCATGACCATCCTGTTTTGGAATACCACGCAATAGTTGCCTCACCTCTTGTTGTTGGTTGATTTGAGCATCGCTGAAACTCTTGCCACTCCGTTTTCCTTCTCAGGCTGCTGTACAGGACAGATTGAATGAGCAAGAGGGCGTACCTAGTGTTTTCAACCCACCTCCATCACGACCCCTGCAGGTTAATACAGCTGACCACAGGATCTACAGCTATGTTGTCTCAAGACCTCAACCAAGGGCAAGTTATTTCATAGCTGGGATTTCCCCCTTTTTTATTTATAAGTATATCCACTTGGTTATATTGATCTCCCTGTGACAGGAGCAAAACAAATATTTAGAATGTAAACCTGTTAGTTAGACTTGGCCCGTTGGGTGTATTATTTTGCCTTGATTCCTCAAGGAATTGTTACAGAAACTACTCATTTTTTTTTTCTTTTCTTTGCCAGTTATTTGGAGAGTGTTTTCTGCCTCTTAAGTTACAATTTGTTTACTCAAGTTCTTTGTTGCTTCAGTTTACTTAATCTTAAACCAGTTTTGAGGAAGTATATGGAATCTTTGTAGGAGCTTTGGCCACGTCTTTGAAATTAGCCTTGAAGGGCTAGTAGCAAGGAGGTGGTTCACTTAAATTTGACAGACATTTAAGAGTACTCCAATAACCTGGTATCTTGCTACTAGGGATCCAGACATGAATAAAGAGCCAGTCTTCCCATTTCAAATTCAATTTCTCACAGTCTATTGAAGGAAGTCAGATGTGTACACTGATAATGAATTCTAAAGAACTGCTTGGACTTTCTTTTTCTTACCCCTGGGGTTATACTCACCTCTTATACTTTTATACTTGCATTTAGAATCCTAAGAAAACACTCCCTTTAACATTGCAGCAGTTAGAATTTACTCCATCATCAAGCCTTTTTGTGGAGTACTTGATTTTTGTTGTGTTTTGTTCTGTTTGAGACAGGGTCTCACTCTGTCGCCCAGCCTGGAGTGCAGTGGCATGATCTTGGCTCGCTGCAGCCTAGACCTCCCGGGCTCAAGCAGTCCTCCACCTCAGCCTCCTAAGTAGCTGGGACTACAGGTGTGCGCCACCATCCTGGTTAATTTTTGTATTTTTTGTAGAGATGGGGTCTTGCTATGTTGCCCAGGCTGGTCTTGAACTCCTGAGCTCAAGTTATCTGCCCACCTCAGCCTCCCAAAGTGCTGGAATTACAGGCTTGAGGCACTGTGCCTGGCCTACTTGATGTTTTAAAACATGTTTCTAAGTAGTGCTCTGTGGTTTTCTGAAGTACAGTAGCAGATTCCCATGTCAGCCATGGGGCTCCAGAGCTTCCTGGCCACAGACACAGAAAGTGTCTCAGGTTAACACAATGTGACAACTATGAAATGCTTTATAAACTATAGAGCCCTGGATGTATGCTAGTTTTAATAATTAATAACAGCAATAATAATTAGCATTATTACTAAGATAAGCAGCTATATGGGGATTTGTCATTGTGGTTAATATAATTATTTAATGTTTATATACCAATGTCCAAGGTTAGTAATAGTGATTATCTTTCTTGCTATTTCTATATACATTATTTTAGGTTTTTATGTTTGTTTGTTTTGTTTTGGGACAGAATCTCCCTCTGTTGCCCAGGCTGGAGTGCAGTGGTGTGATCTCAGCTCACTGCAACCTCAGCTTCCCAGGTTCAAGCGATTCTCCTGCCTCAGCCTCCTGAGTAGCTGGGATTACAGGCGCCCACCACCGCGTCTGGCTAATTTTTGTATTTTTAGTAGAGACAGGGTTTCACCATGTTGGCCAGGCTGGTCTCAAACTCCTGACCTCAAGTGATCTGCCTGCCTTGGCTTCCCAAATTGCTGGGAGTACAAGTGTGAGCCACCACACCCAGCTAATTTTTGTATTTTTAGTAGAGACAGGGTTTTACCATGTTGACCAGGCTGGTCTCGAACTCCTGACCCCAGGTGATCCATCCGCCTCAGCCTCCCAAAGTGTTGGGATTACAGGCGTGAGCCACCAAGCCTGGCTTATTTCTGTATACCATATTTTGATGTGTAAATCTAAAAAGGAAAGAATGAGTGTGTATCATTTGGGGAACATTAATTTGCAATTGAATTTGACAAGTCTATAAGTAGCTGCCAAAAATAAGTATTAAGGCAGTTTTGGTTTTTATTTGTTTGTTTGTTTTTTTGAGACAGAATCTTGCTCTGCCCCCAGGCTGGAGTTCAGTGGCGCGATCTCAGCTCACTGCAACCTCCGCCTCCTGGGTTTAAGCAATTTTCCTGCCTCAGCCTCCCTGAGTAGCTGGGACTACAGGTGCATGCCACCATGCCTGGCTAATTTTTGTATTTTTAGTAGAGATGGGATTTCACCGTGTTGGCCAGGCTGGTCTCAAACTCCTGACCTCAGGTGATCTGCCCCACTCAGCCTCCCAAAGTGCTGGGATTACAGGCAGGAGATACAGCTCTGGACCTTAAAGCAGATTTAATACAAAAATTCTGCAAAAAAAAATGATAGTAAGATGAAATAAGACCAAAGATGGTGGCACTTAGAAGGATGAGGTGGCCAGGAAGAAGGAACTGTACTTTAGAGGAACAAATCACATGGAAGGACCAAAAAGAGTGAGAAAATCTGACCTAGCCATTTGATAAAATATTAGGGATTGAGAGAATTGTCTCTAACTTTGTTTTTGGACTTTCAGGGGCTGCTTGGATGGGGTTATTACTTGATAATGCTTCCATTCCGGTTTACCTATTACACGATACTTGATATATTTAGGTATGTACCTTTGGATTTATGTATTAGTAGAATAGTAAGACTTTGGAGCTGAAATTTAGGCCAAAATAAGCTTTATGCTCTATCAATGTTGACTTACCAATTTGTCATGAGATGGAATACACTTCCCGAACTGTCTTTTAATACAACATACAAGTATTTTAAATTGTTGAAGCATTGGCAGGCATTGTGAAATGGAATTGTTTTTAAATTAGTCTTACCTTTTGTTTGCAAAAACCAGTCTGACTATATTTATTTGTCTCCCCCTCCCCCCCCCACCATATTTGTCACCTCTACACTTCCTAGTTGATGTCCACACCCTTTCCTTTCTAACCACTATCATCTCCTAGCTTCACACTCCTTAGAACTTTCTTCCTCAACTACTTCTCCTCCACCTGACTACTCACAATCCCAACAAATTCTCTTGCTCTGAGATTACCCAGTTTGCCCTTGATTCCTCCCACAATAGTTGGACCTCCCTAGACACTCCTGTTACACCTTTTCTTTCTTTTTCTTTCTTTTTTTGAAACAGAGTCTTGCTCTGTCGCTGTCACCCAGGCTAGAGTGCAGTGCCACCATCTCGACTCACTGCAACCTTCACCTCCTGGGTTCAAGCGATTCTCATACCTCAGCCTCCCAGATAGCTGGGATTACAAGCATGCGCCACCACGCCTGGCTAATTTTTGTATTTTTAGTAGAGACAGTAGAGATGGAGTCTCATTTTGTTGGCCAGGCTGATCTTGAGCTCCCGGCCTCAAGTGATCCACCTGCCTTGGCCTCCCGAAGTGCTGGGATTGCTGGCATGAGCCACCATGCCTGGCAGCTTCGGTACCTTTTCACTTTGCTCTGGCAGCCCCTAGGTTGCAAACACTGGAACCCTTTTATGTATATACCCACTTGCTTCATACCTTCACCTTTCTTCTAGCTTCCTTCATGTACCATTAAAAGAGCTCATCATTGGAAGCTACAGAGGGTCCAAGGCCAGAAAATGAGTGGGGCTCAACTGGCCGGGCTCTGTGGCTCACGCCTGTAATCCCAGCACTTTGGGAGGCTGAGGTGGGCGGATCACAACGTCAGGAGATCAAGACCATCCTGGCTAATACGGTGAAACCCTGTCTCTACTAAAAATACAAAAAATTAGCCGGGCGCGGTGGCTGGTGCCTGTAGTCCCAACTACTCAGGAGGCTGAGGCAGGAGAATGGCGTGAACCCGGGAGGCGGAGCTTGCAGTGAGCCTAGATCGCACCACTGCACTCCAGCCTGGGTGAGAGAGTGGGACTCCGTCTCAAAAAAAAAAAAAAGAAAAAGAAAAGAAAATGAGTGGGGCACAACTTCTTAGCATGTCAGGCTTGGGTTATCTGGTCCAGAGCCATGTCTAGGCTTTATGGGGAACTTAAATGTTCAAGGGCATCCAGGCCAGCAGATGGAGCTGGGATATGTAGTCTGGGCCTTCCCTGGAAGTACAGGTTCCCTGTACTTCCCTTCAAATATGGGACAGCCTTTACCCTGCCTCTAGGGAGCAGAGGCTGAAGTTGTGGGTCCAGCAGCTGCATAAGTACAAGGGTCAGATAGTACCTTTTATATTGGACCCTTGGTGTTTTATGAGGCTGTCTACTTAATGGCTTTCTTGGTTTAGCAACATTCTTCATGATCACTAATTGCTTAGTACTCTTTCCATCCCCATTTTATTTAAGAATGAACATGTAAAAATCTTTAAAATCATAATGAAAACTAAGTTGACATCTCTGTTTTTTTCTAAAAAATCAAAAAAGCTGATTGTCCTAAATTGTGTAGATCGTGGGAATATTGTGTAATGAGGAAAAAAAAATAAAGGCTTTAAGAGAGAATTCTAAAATGCTTAATTTCAAAGAAAGTAGTTAAAACATCAGTCTTCTGATGAATTTCTAACCATTCCCCCACGTATACAACTTACTACATTTTGTGCTTTTAATTCGCTCTGGAACGTTGTTGTCAATGAATTTGGTTTGATTACTCGGGAGAAATTCCAAGTAGAATTGTATACACAGGGGGAATTTGTTGGGATAATGAATTGACTCACTTTTTGTTAAGGAAAAGTATCACAGTTTAATCACCTTGTCTGTGCTGAAAACGTTTTAAGTAAATGAATATTGTTTGCTTTTCTAGGGAAAATATGCACGGCATGTATTACTAATTTTAATGCAGCTGTATCATCCAACCAGCTTGTTTAATGTTAGGTAACACATTATCCTCTGTCCTGTTGCCTTCTCTGGAAACCCAAAGGATAAATAAATGGTACTATACAAATAGGGTAGGCCCTTTAGAAACAGATGTGTGGTACCATTAGGTATGTATTCTTCACTTTACAAGAGCTGCCAGTACTCCACATCTGCCAGGGTACTGTGGAGCAGTTTTATAACTTCCTCCATGGTTGCCATCAACCATAAATCATCAAGCAAAAGGTACTTGCCCCTTTGAAGAGCAAGTAAGTCATAACCGCAACTTCAGATTTGAAGTTCCTATCCGTAAGTTGAATAGTTTGGGGTTGTGAACTCAATATTTAAAATCCCAGGAAAACAGAAAGGAGAAGGAGGGGCAAGTAGGACAACCAGAAAATGACCTCTGTTCTAGAGCACTGTCCAGTAGAACTCTCTGTGATGATAGAAACGTTCTGTATCTCCGCTGTTCAGTATGAAAGCCATTAAACACGTGGCTGTTGAGCACTTGAAATGTGGCTAGCATTACTAAGGAACTGAATTTTAATTGTATGTAATAGATTTAAATTCAGAATAGCCACATTTGACTAGTGGCTACAGTACTTAGACGGTGCCATTCTAGAGAGTCTGGGTGCATAGCCTGACACATGATCTTTTTGGATACTGTGTCTTCCCTTCCAAACCCTTCTAGCCCTAAATTGTTCTACAAAAAATACTCAGGATTTATGTAGGCCAGTGTTGGAATTTATAATCCCAGTAGTTTGCATTCTTCCTGAACAGGCAATAGAATAACACTTGCTGCTTTATGGCTTTTGAACCAGACTCTACTCTCGGATTTGATGGTCCACTCACAGACTGTTCACCTCCCTTTGTTGCCGTGCCTCTGGCTCTGTTACAGGAATCTGTACAAATTGGCCCACTCGATATGCACTGTAGTAAGCTGGATTCATGTGATATTTATTCCTTCCTCCCCAGGTTTGCTCTTCGTTTTATACGGCCTGACCCTCGCAGCCGGGTCACTGACCCCGTTGGGGACATTGTTTCATTTATGCACTCTTTTGAAGAGAAATATGGGAGGGCACACCCTGTCTTCTACCAGGGAACGTACAGCCAGGTCAGTGCCATAAACCATATAGATGCCAACTTACCGAAATGATTCTATCCTCAAAGGAGAGCACAGCCCAGCACTGATCATGTCCTTCTTGTACTCAAAAACCTTAATTAGCTCTTCACTGCTTATAGGGGTGGGTAATAAAAAAGACCAAACCTTTTAGCTGGCCCCTCTTTGATCTAATGCTGCCCTTCTTTTGAGGTCTTTTCTGCATAACTTATTTTACCATACCCTCAGTTCCAGCTGACTCATTCCCTGAACATAGTCTGTACTTGCCTACCTCTGTGCCTTTGCTTTTGCCGGTCCATCCACGTGGAATGCCTTCCTCACATTTTTGCTAATTGGAATCTTGCCAGTCCTTCAACTAGATTATGTCACGCCCCACTTACAGCTATCCCTGATTGTTGTGCCCTGTCCTGCCCTATCTCATCATCTAGAATACTAATCTTTCCCTTTGTTCTTCCATAGCTTTTAAAAATTGATAGCAATTTTATATTCTTTCCTATATCATTTGTGTTCGTGTCTAATCTCTGCTACCAGACTGAAAGCCCCTTGAAGGCAAAGCCTACATCTTCTTTGATCTCTCACAGAATTGAATAAGGACATAGACCATAGACTCAGGGTAGCACATCTCATTCAACCTCAGCCATGTAGACCTTTGACTCAAGACCTCACCATTCAGGGGAGGAAAAATTAGAGTTCTGTGGGTGTTTGGTATATCTCTAGTTTGCCAGAGAAATACATAGAATTAACACTACAGGAATAGGGAAAACTATGGGAATGCTGTGGCAATAGGCAAAAGGGGGTTCTATTATGCAGCCTCCAGAATTCCTGAATCTATCTGGAGAAAGAAAAATGCTCACCCTTGCTTCCTGCTTTCATTTTCCCACATCTGCTTTTTATCATAGTCAGTCTCCTCGCTGGCTGTTCCCACCACACTCAACAAAAACTGAGCACCTACTGTATGCCAGGCAATGTCCTCAGTGCTAGAGATACAGAGATGAGTGAGATGAGCACCTCCTGTGTACCCTCTCTGCTATGATCCTGAGGGTAGACCACCCTTGACCATGTCAGCAGTCGTACAGTGTAATGTGCTCAGGAGCACGCACATGCAGGAGCACGCACAGGAGTCTTCGGCGCTAGCCTTGTCTTTGAAAGTCTTTTACACCCTATGCTCTTTAGAATGCCTTTGGATCGTACAGTCCATCATTCCTACTCGATATGTGGCCTGGGATCAGGGTTGTCTTCGCAGTTATTTTTTACTTACAAGGATGTTGTAGCTGTGAAGTAGAAAAATTCTCACCTCCCTTTCATATGGTCAGATTCTCCTGTTTTTATCTTCCTTAGACTGTGGGTGCAGCTGACTTTTCTGTGGTTTGTTGGGAACCTGTGTTTGTAAGCCTGTCTACTCTCATGTGTCTGTTAAGTTTGAATCCTAACAACACTAAAACCTTTTCATTAAAGCTTGTTAGCGTGGAGTTTCTATAGGGAGAACAATGCCAGGGGTGTGAAGGTAGGAGCTCAGGAATTTTCTGATTTCTTGCTCACCTTTTTTCCTTATTTTTCCTTTTGTTCCTAAATACATAACTGTATCCATTAGGACCCTTAGCTTAAATATAAGCTCAAGGCACAGTCTTCTTAATAGTGAGTGACCTTCTCTTTCTCACAGGCACTTAACGATGCCAAAAGGGAGCTTCGCTTTCTTTTGGTTTATCTTCATGGAGATGATCACCAGGACTCTGATGAGTTTTGTCGGTAAGTGGATTGATTATTTTCCTTCTCTTTTCTGACTCTTTCTGGTGACAGTTTATAGTCAGCAAGTTGTTCTCATATCCTTTTCATACCTTTCCACAGCAACACACTCTGTGCACCTGAAGTTATTTCACTAATAAACACTAGGATGCTCTTCTGGGCATGCTCTACAAACAAACCTGAGGGATACAGGGGTAAGTTATGTTTCTTCTGCCTCATTGAGATTGTTGGAGTATCTTTGGAATAGTCTGGAAAGACATGCCATGCCATTTATTACAAGTGTGTTTGTTCTGTGGTAGATACGACGCTAGTTGCTATTTTATATTGTCTCATTTAATCCTCTCAGCAGTCCTGAGAGATGGGGGGTCATATTACCTTTGCTTTATGGTTTAGGAAATAGGCTCAGAGAGTTCAAGCCACTGGCTGAAGATCACA
This sequence comes from Homo sapiens, assembly GCF_000001405.40. Lineage (NCBI taxonomy): Eukaryota > Metazoa > Chordata > Mammalia > Primates > Hominidae > Homo > Homo sapiens. Next base: position 176,494,517 of record NC_000005.10, read on the forward strand.
CAATTAGCAAGTTTTATTTTTTTTGTTTTTATTTAATTAATTAAAAAAATTTTTTTGAGATGGAGTCTTGCTCTGTCGCCCAGGCTGGAGTGCAGTGGTGCGATCTTGGCTCACTGCAACCTCCACCTCCTGGGTTCAAGCGATTGTCCTGCCTCAGCCTCCTGAGTAGCTGGAACTACAGGCATGCACCACCACGCCCAGCTAATTTTTTTGTATTTTTAGTAGAGATGGGGTTTCACCATGTAGCCTCAAACTCCTGGACTCAAGTGAGCAGCCCACCTCAGCCTCCCAAAGTGCTGGGATTACAGGTGTGAGCCACTGTGCCCCGCCATAATTAGCAAGTTGTAGCGTACAGTCGGGTCTGCCAGATTCTAAAGCCCGTTCTTCACATTCAGCATTGCCAAAGCCTGCCACATTCATAGAAATACCCAGTCTTGGCTAGCAGCTTGCTTTTAATCTTAATGGGCTTTTTACTGAAGAGTTTATTCTTTTCATCAACGATTTTAACAGAGCCCTTGCATAGTGAGTCAGTTGTTTGAGTACCTTGAGTGCTGATATGGATTTGGAAAGTTCAGATCTTTGCTGACAATAACTCTTCTTTGGAGATAAGTATTTTTAGACGGTTAGTAAAAGATACGAAGGCATCCAGTGAGGAAAAATGTAGTCATTTTTGTGGCTACTTCTATCCAGCAACTTTTGAGTTTATATTAGCATGCCACATACTGTGCCATGTCTTGAGAACCAAAGATGTGGCAGATGTTGTCCCTGCATCCCAGAGTCTGAATCTTAAGCCTAATTGTTTTTAAACATCCAAATTCCTGCATGCGTTTTGCCATTCTAATATGGCTTTGCAGGGGGCAGAAGGGAGGTTGTGAATAGAAGGAAGGTAAGGATTTTTTTTTAATAGAAGTTTATAAAATCTCTTATTTCACACCATAAGGAAAACATAGGTAAAACTCTGTTATGGTAAAAATCTTGGTCATTTGGACACCAATTTTTTTTTTTTTTTTTTTGAGACCAAGTTTTACTCTGTCACCCAGGTTGGAGTGCAGTGGTGCGATCTCAGTTCACTGCAGCCTCCACCTCCCGGGTTCAAGCGATTCTCCTGCCTCAGCCTCTCGCCTATCTGGAATTACAGGCGCGTACCACCACACCCTGCTAATTTTTGTATTTTTTGTAGAGATGGGGTTTCATTATGTTGGCCAGGCTGGTCTCAAACCCCTGACCTCAAGTGATCCAACCACCTCCGCCTCCCAAAAGTGCTAGGATTAAAGGTGGAGCTACCAGCCCAGCCTCAACTTTCTATTAATAAGCTTCTTTGGAACAGAAAAACTAACCTTTTTAAGGGTGGAGAAAAGTTACGTGGGGAGAAAGGATAAGGAAAGGATTAGGCAAGAGAAAAAAAAATGATGATGGAGATTATTATCAGTATCATCAGGCTGAGACTTGCAGCCTTGTGCCCTTTTAGGTTTGAGCCCTTGTACAGGGAAAAACTGTGCCAGATTCTTTATAGATCCTTTTTGTACCATCAAGTAGACATTATCCTTAAACTCTGCAGCCTTCCCTGGCATCATCACAACAACCACACCGCCACCAGGAAAGCCTGTCCTATTCTAGTCAAGCACCTAGGGATAGGCATGCAAATTGATAACAAAAACAAAAGATTACAAAACTGGGAGGAACTGGGCATGGTGGCACACTCCTGTAATCCCTGCTTCTCAGGAGGCTGAGGTGGGAGGGTCACTTGAGCCCAGGAGCTGGAGACCAGCCTGAGCAACATAGTGAGACCCTGGCTCAAAAAAAGAAAAGAAAGAAACTAGGAGGCGGGGAAAAAGCGGAGACTAAATGATACCTCTCGTCTTCCCCAACCAGGATTAAAACAGTTCTCTCTCACTCATTGTGGAAAGTCTAAGGGTTGATCTTTTTCACCGTCAAGTCCTGCCCTTGATCTGTTGGGTCTTTTTATCAGTCTCACAGGCTTTACGAGAGAACACCTATCCATTCCTGGCCATGATTATGCTGAAGGATCGAAGGATGACTGTGGTGGGACGGCTAGAAGGCCTCATTCAACCTGATGACCTCATTAACCAACTGACATTTATCATGGATGCTAACCAGACTTACCTGGTGTCAGAACGCCTAGAAAGGTACAAGGGAGTTCCCTTCTGGAACAGAGAGAGACCAGTTGTAAATTTGGAGGGCTGACCTCTGGGGCTCTACCAATCCTGACTTCTTCTGTGCATCAGGCCGCTATTAGCTTTTAGCTTTGCCCATTTATTGTCAAAATATTTACATACTTTGACCTAAATTACTCTATATCAGGTAATCTGTTCTTAGAGATGTTCAAAATAAAGACAAGGGCTGGGTGCAGTGGCTAACACCTGAAATCCTAGCACGTTAGGAGGCTGAGGCAGGAGGATTACTTGAATCCAGACTGGGCAGCAAAGCGAGACCCCATCTCTACAAAAAATAAGAAAAAATTAGCTAGGCATGGTGGTACATGCCTGTAGTCCCAGGTCCTTGGGAGCCCGAGGCAGGAGGATTGCTTGAGGCCAGGAGTTCGAGGCAGCAGTGAGCTCTGATTGTGCCTCTGCACTCCAGCCTGGATGACAGAGCAGGACTCTGTCTTTAAAAAATAATAAATGAATGAATAAACAAAGACAGGCCTCTGTGCTCAAGAATGTATATTGTGGCATTTAGAATAGCTGAATATAATATAAAGAACTTCGATGTAAAAAAAAAAGTGGAATGGTTATAATTCCTCTCCATTACATAAGTTATGTACATTAATTATAGGAAATCCTAAAACCACAAAAAAGCACAAGGAAGAAATTTAAGATCACTGATAAACCTACCACCACTTGAACATTGTTATAAATTTTTTTAATTTTATACACAACACACACCCCTATATACGTACACATTTATTTGTAAAATTGGGATAATACTTTTTTACAACCCTTCTTTATGTAAGAATATATCACGGCCTTTTCCCTCATCATTAAATATTCTGCCACATTTTAAAAATTACTGCATAACATTCCATTATCTAAATACATCATAATTTAACCAGGCCACTCTCGTTGGATTTTTAGATTATTTTCGGTTTGTTACTATTATAATTAGCATATAGGGAGATAATTTTTTGCAATTTGTGATGGTTTCCTTAGATTAAAATTTAAATTCCTGGAAGTGCAGTTTCTGGGTGAGACAATCAATATAAGTATATTTTAAGGCTCTTGATTTGTAATGCCAACTTGCCCTCAAGAAAGTTAAACAAACTTAAATTTTATGGAAAGTTTTTAATAACATGGGGACATGCTTGTTACATATTAGAAAAATGCAGAATCAGGCCGAGCATGTTGGCTCATACCTGTAATCCGAGCATTTCGGGAGGCTGAGGTAAGAAGATTGCTTGAACTCAGGAGTTTGAGGTCAGCCCGGGCAACATGGTGAAACCCCATCTCTACAAAAAATACAAAAATTAGCTAGGCGTGGTGGCACACGCCTGTAAGCTGAGGTGGCAGGATTGCTTTAGCCTAGGAGGTTGAGGCTGCAGTGAGTCATGATCGCACCACTGCACTCTAGCCTGGGTGACAGGCTAGCCCTGTCTCCAAAAAAAAAGAAAAATGCAAGATCAAAATCCTGTAAATAATAGCGTTATTTTAACTGTGTAAAAAAATGTATAGAACAGGAAACTTTCCGAGGTAACTGAAATGTTCTGTCTTGATTGGAGTGGTGATTACATGGTTACATTTATCAAAATTCATTGAATTGTACATTTAAGATCTGTGCATTTCACTGCATGTAAATTTTATCTTAATTTTTAAAGATAAAATCTGTTCAACTATTTTGATTGGCTAAATATTTTGGCTAAGAGAAAACAGAAATTTGTTGGAGAGAAAATAGGAGATATGCCAAATGTTATAATGTTTTATCTTTGATTAGTGATTCTCTGAATGACTCTGAAAACTCTACATTTTCAGATCTGCTACAATGTGTGTATGGATATATATGTGTGTGTTTTGGTTTTATGAGATCAGTACAAAAATGCAGTCACCCAAAATGGTATTTACTTGTAAAATATGATATTGATGATCCCTTCATAATAACAGTACTGTGTCACATTTGTTAGAATTAGGGGAAAAGTTTTATTTTAAAAGAGGAGAGGAAAGCTTGCTGTTTCCTTTTCTGCCAAATTAAACTGAGAAAAAAGGTGGCTTATTCAGATTCTGCCACGCTCTGCTTTTGGAATCCCTTATGGCAGTGTGAAATCGTCATCTGCTAAGAATATCAACATTTTTACACACACACACACACAGAAGATTTCAATATAAGAAAACACAGAACTTTGTGAGAGTGCTGTTTTTCTTCTCTTGCTTTTGATCTATTCACAGGGAAGAAAGAAACCAGACCCAAGTGCTGAGACAACAGCAGGATGAGGCCTACCTGGCCTCTCTCAGAGCTGACCAGGAGAAAGAAAGAAAGAAACGGGAGGAGCGGGAGCGTAAGCGGCGGAAGGAGGAGGAGGTGCAACAGCAAAAGTTGGCAGAGGAGAGACGGCGGCAGGTAATGGACGTGTGGCTTTACTCCCTGTGGTTCCCAAACTGCCGAGACTTTGCCATCTTGGTCTTAAGTGTGAAAGGAAAAAATGATAGCCACCTTAAACAGACTAAGAGGGAAAAAAAAAAAGGAAAAAGGAAAGAAAAAATTACAACATGTTGGAATTAGGGGTGATTTAAATTTTTCATACCATTTAAATATTCATTCTTTTTTAAATAAAAATTTAAAAAAAGAGACGGGCTTTGCCATATTGGCCAGGCTGCTCTCGAACTCCTGACCTCACATGATCTGCCTGTCTTGGCCTTCCAAAGTGTTGGGATTACAGGCGTGAGCCACCATGCCTGGCCCTAAATATTCATTCTTAATACCAGTATTAGCTGATTTGGCATTTTACTCATTATCTTTTTGTTTTTGTTTTGTTTTGTTTTGTTGTTGTTTTTGTTCCCTAGCAATCAGACTGAGATATACATTATCTTATTTGATTATGTATTACCGCTTACCTATAACCAGTGTCTTTTAGTCATTTCCTTTTATTTCTTTTTTTTTTTTAAGAGACAGGGTCTCACTGTGTTGCCCAGGCTGGCGTGCAGTGGCTATTCACCAGTGCAATCATGGAGCACTACACCCTGAAACTCTTGGGCTTAAGAAGTCCTGCTGTGGCCTCTGAAGTAGCTGGAACTACAGGCACATACCATGGCACCCTGCTCCCTTTCTCCTTTTTCTCAAATAAATACCTAGACATAATAAAGAATACATGAGATGCAATTGTACTTTAAATTTAGGTTGTTTTTGACTATTCCTGAGAGGTTTTTCTTAGAATACTTAGTCATTAATTTTTCTTCTGACGACTGCGTAATAAAGCTACATGGTCATTGTATTTATTTCTTGAGCTGTAGCCTCACCTTTGCTTTGTGTCTCTGCAGAATTTACAGGAGGAAAAGGAAAGGAAGTTGGAATGCCTGCCCCCTGAACCTTCCCCTGATGACCCTGAAAGTGTCAAGATCATCTTCAAATTACCTAATGATTCTCGAGTAGAGAGACGATTCCACTTTTCACAGTCTCTAACAGTAAGGACCACCTAAGTTCTGTGAAGTGTATGTAGCATCTGGGCTATAGATTTGGAGCTTTTACTGACTCTTGAGAGTGGTGTTGGTGTATCTGCTGCTCTGATGAACAGGGAACAGAGAGAGAGAGAGAGAGATGGGTATGCCATCCGTGGACACCAGGAAGAGTACCGAGGACTGCTGTAGGCTCCTTCAGTTCTAGTTTCCAACTCAAAGCAATTTTTAAGTTTTTGTTTAATTATGTTTCGGCTCTGCTAAGAAAAAAAGGTACCTTACATAAGTCCCTCAAAAGACTTGTGTGTTTGAAGATGGGAGGCTCTTCCATGCTGTCTTCCTGCATTGGCTTCAGAATCCCACCAGAACCCCTGCTCTGTAGGAAAAGCTCTGTCTCCAGTGACCTAAAAGCACTGAAGTGACATATCTGAATATAAGTGCACTTGCAGTTTGGATGCAGTTGTCTCTCTCTTTCTACTCAGCCCAAAGGAAGCCCCATTTTCTGAGGCTACTTTATGTATATGATAGCCATGTGATAGTGTTTGTCATTTCCACATGGAAGTCATTAAAAGCAGAAACTCAAGAGCCTCACAGCATGAGGATCAAATTTTCATTCTTCCAGGGTTACTAGATGTGTTTCCTTAGTCAGTTTATTTAATTTCTAAGCCTCAATTTCTTCATCTGTAAAATGGGTTTAATAATAAGCACGGCTGGGCCCCGTGCTCATGCCTGTAATCCCAGCACTTTGAGAGGCCGAGGTAGGTGGATCATTTGAGGTCAGGAGTTTGAGACCAGCCTGGCCAACATGGTGAAACCTCGTCTCTACTAAAAATACAAAAATTAGCTGGGCGTGGTGGCACGTGCCTGTAATCCCAGCTACTCGGGAGGCTGAGGCAGGAGAATCACTTGAACCCGGGAGACGGAGGTAGCAGTGAGCCAAGATTGCAGCACTGCACTCCAGCCCGGGCAACAGAGACCCTGTAAAAAAAAAAAATAAATAATAATAATAATAGGCACTCCCTAGTAGGATTGTTGTTAGAATTAAATTCTTAACATTGTGCCTGGCTCCTAGTAAGTGCTTAAATACTAACTACTATTTTTGGTATTTGTAACCAAAAGAAAATTTATTTAAACTGAGAGTCAGTATGTTGCCTTTGCAAATTTATAGCTATAGTGGATTCTGCAGTTTCCCTGATCGCTCAGAATAATCAAGGGTAAACCTCATAATTAAAAGAGGATGCACTGTAGTCAGGTGAGGCTGGTTAGTACATTCATTGCTTCTGCCTGTTTAACTGGACAACATTGGGCAAGTTGCAAAATTCTACAGGGCCTCAGATTTCCCATTAGTGAACTAGAACTGTAATCTGCCCTCTGATAAGTTTAAACTGAACATAGGTATGTCATGCAGTGAGCCAGATACTCTAGGGATCATTTAGATGAGTGAGACATGGTTTTGGAATTCATGGAGCTTATTGGCCAGTACAGAATGTAAGACTCAGAGAACTAATACAGAATTAAAGTTATGAAACATTTTGTTAAGAGAGAAGCAAATAGCTTCCTTGTTTTATTTCTCTCTCATTTATGCATTTATTTATATTGGGGGAAGTGCTTATGTCTCTAACTTTGTTTGTTTTGAGACAGAGTTTCGCCTTGTCACCCTAGCTGGATTGCAGTGGCACTGTCGCAGCTCGCTGCAACCTCTGCCTCCTGGGTTCAAGCAATTCTCCTGCCTCAGCCTCCCGAGTAGCTGAGATTACAGGAAGCCGCCACCATGCCTGGCTAATTTTTGTATTTTTTTTAGTAGAGATGGGGTTTCACCATGTTGGTCAGGCCGGTCTCGAACTCCTAACCTCAAGTGATCCACCCACCTCGGCCTCCCAAAGTGTTGGGATTATAGGCGTGAGCCACTGCACCTGGCCCCATGTCTCTAACTTTGGATTTTTAAATTGAGATAATGTGGATGCGCCTCACACAGTATCCACCATGTAGTAGGTGGTTATTAGCGTTAATTTCCTTCCCCTGGTGTCCCATTTCTTAACTATGGGTTTGTGTATGTATTTTAGCTTTCATGTTCACTAGCAATTTTGCTATTGTACACACGAATTACATGGAATTTCTACCCTAAAAATTCTGATAGATAAAACTATATATGAAAAACCTAGGCCAGGCGTTGTGGCTCACGCCTATAATCCCAGCACTTTGGGAGGCCGAGGCAGGCGGATCACCTGAGGTCGGGAGTTCAAGACCAGCCTGACCAAAATGGAGAAACCCTGTCTCTACTAAAAATACAAAATTAGCTGGGTGTGGTGGCATGTGCCTGTAATCTCAGCGACTTGGGAGGCTGAGGCAGGAGAAACGCTTGAGCCCAGGAGGCAGAGGTTGCGGTGAGCCGAGATCATGCCATTGCACTCCAGCCTGGGCAACAAGTGTGAAACTCTGGCTCAAAAAAAAAAGAATGAAAAACCTAACAAAAATTTACTCTCCTGAGAGTTTTGGAGGAAAAATCTGTTAGAACTGTGGAACAGAATAGGCTTGTGGCCAAAAGGGAACCAACCATTCATTAACTATTTGATCCTTGAAGACTTTTAAATGGGTTCCTCACTAAAAGCTGTTTTTTAAAAAAGAGTATCGGCTGGGCGTGGTGGCTCATGCCTGTAATCCCAGCACTTTGGGGGGCCGAGGCAGGCGGATCACAAGGTCAGGAGTTCCAAACCAGCCTGGCCAATATGGTGAAACGCCGTCTTTACTAAAAGTACAAAAATTAGCTGGGTGTGGTGGCGAGTGCCAGTAGTCCCAGCTACTCGGGAGGCTGAGGCAGGAGAATTGCTTGAACCCGGGAGGCAGTGGTTGCAGTGGACCGAGACTGCGCCATTGCACTCCAGCCTGGGCGACAGAGCGAGGCTGTGTCTCAAAAAAAAAATGAATAAAATAAATAAAAATAAAAAAGAGTATCATGGCCACATGAGATTAGTCTAAGAGAAATGCTTGGTCATAAATGGGTCTTAGAGATGGAAAGAAGTGTGTAATGTAGCAGTGCCCTGGTGGTGCTGGCCTGGAATTTAACATTCACAGAGATAATTACATAAAACCAAATAATGCTGTAGTGTTTTTTAGTACCCTTAAAGACCTTGTGTCGGCCGGGTGCAGTGGCTCATGCCTGTAATCCCAGCACTTTGGGAGGCTGAGGTGGGCGGATCACCAGGGGTCAGGAGTTTGAGAGCAGCCTGGCCAACATGGTGAAACCCCATCTCTACTAAAAATACAAAAATTAGCCAGGCATGATGGCGTGGGCCTGTAATCCCAGCTACTCAGGAGGCTGAGGCTGCAGAATCGCTTGAACCTGGGAGGCGGAGGTTGCAGTGAATGGAGATCGTGCTATTGCACTCCAGCCTGAGTGAAAAAAGCAAAATTCTGTCTCAAAAAAAAAAAAAAAAAGACCTTGTATCACCTTCCTGTGAACTTGGTCCTTTGTAAATAATCTCCAGGAGTGACAGATTTGTAGGTAATGCTCAGCTCTGGAAAGTGGTGCAATGCTAAGATAAAAGGGGTACGCTGCAGAAAAATCTCCAGGTCCCATGAGTGGTCATAAAAGAGGCAGCTGACTTTGTTTTAAACAAATGTATAAGAGATAAAGCCCAGAACTAATTTTTCTGTCCATTGCAAACCAAAAGGGACCTCTAGTAGTAATGTAATCTGTTTCCTGATGGTTATCAACCCTTTGCCATTAGTAATAAAAAATGCCGGCCGAGTGCGGTGGCTCATGCCTGTAATACCAGCACTTTGGGATGCCAAGGCAGGCGGATCACTTAAGGCCAGGAGTTCGAGACCAGCCTGGCCAACATGGTGAAATCCAGTCTCTACTGAAAATACAAAAATACAGAATGGCTTGAACCTGGGAGGCGGAGGTTACAGTAAGCCGAGATCGTGCCACTGTACTCCAGCCTGGGCGACAGAGTGAGACTCCATCTCAAAAAAAAAGAAAAACAAAAGCCAAGTTTGTACAAGTGTTAGGTATTCTCAAGCAGAGATTAAAAAGAAATCAGAAAGTATTTTTTTGGCCAGGCATGGTGGTTCACGCCTCTAATCCCAGGACTTTGGGAGGCCGAGACGGGTGGGTCACCTGAGGTCAGGAGTTCGAGACCAGCCTAATGAAACCCTGTCTCTGGCCGGGCTTGGTGGCTCACGCCCATAGTCCCAGCCTACTTTGGGAGGCCAAGGTGGGTAGATCACGAAGTCAGGAGTTCGAGACCAGCCTGGCCAACATGGTGAAACCCCATCTCTACAAAAAACACAAAAATTAGCTGGGCATGGTGGTGCGCGCCTGTAGTCACTGCTGCTTGGGAGGCTGAGGCAGGAAAATCGCTTGAGCCCAGGAGGCAGAAGTTGCAGTGAGCCGAGATCCTGCCACTGCACTCCAACCTGGGCAACAGAGCAAGACTCCATCTCAAAAAAAAAAGGTATTTTTTTCACTCATATTGGTTTCATACCAAGAATACTTGGTGTAAGTCTAATTGATGCATGTTAAGAAAGAGTGAACATTAATGGGAATTGCAAAGAGAGAAGGAAACTGAAAACGAGTTAGGTTGATAGACTAAAATATGAGAAGTTTATAAAATCATGAATGGATTAGACAAGAGGAACATGGATTTACTATTTAAATTCTGGATTATAGCCCTTTAAAAATCCCTGAAGAGGGCAACATGGCAAGGCTCTGTCTCTACAAAAAATTTTAAAAGTTAACCAGGCATGGTGTTGGACATGTGTTATCCCACTTACTTGGGAGGCTGAGGCAGGAGGATTGCTTGAACCTGGGAGGTCGAGGCTGCAGTGAGTCGTGTTTGCACCACTGCACTCCAGCCTGGGCGACAGAGCAAGACCTGTCTGGGAAAAAAAAAAAAAAAAAAGTTCCCTAGAGCAGTAAGTTTAAGAAATGAAGGACTGCTTTACACAGAGGGGTATAAAACCCAGAGAATTCATCATTTTGAGAGATGTATCAAAAAGAAAATGGAATAGATTCCTCCCAAAAAGGAAAAATAACTTGAATGGTATGTTCGTCATCTTTGGGGTTGATCTGAATGAGGTTGGCAGAATTGTTGTTAGAAGTAGAATGCTAGATGGAGAGGCCACAGAGCAGGGACAGGGAGAGATGACAGTGGCCTGTTCCACAGGCATCTCACACACAGTTTAAGTTTTAGCATCCTGGACTCTCCTAATACTGCCTCCCTTCTCACTAAGGATTTTAACTGTGCCTTGTCAGAGCCAGAGCAGGGTAAGGAGGGCATTCCCACAGACAGGAGATTCATATGAGGTGCAACACATTTATTGTATTGTATTTTTTTGTCCATAGGTTATTGGGGAACAGGTGGTGTTTGGTTACATGAGTCAGTTCTTTAGTGGTGATTTGTGAGATTTTGGTGCACCCATCACCCGAGCAGTATACACTATACCCTATTTGTAGTCTTTTATCCCTCACCCCTTCCCACTCTTCCACACAAGTCCCCAAAGTCCATTGTATCATTCTTTTGCCTTTGCGTCCTCATAGCTTAGCTCCCACATATCAGTGAGGACATATAATGTTTGATTTTCCATTTCTACTTACTTCGCTTAGAATAATAGTCTCCACTCTCATCAAGGTCGCTGTGAATGCCATTAATTCATTCCTTTTTATGGCTGAGAAGTATTCCATCATATATATATATCACAGTTTCTTTATCCACACGTTGATTGATGGGCTTAAAACTGGATCCTTGGCTGGGCACGGTGGCTCACGCCTGTAATCTCAGCACTTTACGCCTGTAATCCCAGCACTTTGGGAGGCCGAGACGGGAGGATCACAAGGTCAGAAGATCGAGACCATCCTGGCTAACACGGTGAAACCCCATCTCTGCTAAAAATACGAAAAAATTAGCCAGGCGTGGTGGCGGGCGCTTGCACTCCCAGCTACTCAGGAGGCTGAGGCAGGAGAATAGCGTGAACCTGGGAGGCGGAGCTTGTGGTGAGCTGAGATGGCGCCATTGCACTCCATTCAGCCTGGGCAACAGAGCGAGACTCTCTCAAAAAAAAAAAAAACAAAAAAAAAAAACTGGATCCCTTTGCTATTATATAAAAGATAATTGGCAAAACTTGAATAGGGCCTGAATAATAATATGTTATAGAAATAATGTGTCAGTTACATTTCCTGATTTTGAGAGCCAAGTTGTGGTTATATAGAAGATTGTCCTATTAGTCCGTGATCACCTCAGAATACTTGAGGCCATGTGTCTTACAGTTAGCACTTCACTCTCAACTGAGTTAAAGAAAAAAATTAAGTGTCCTATACTTCCAACTTTTCTGTAACTTTGTGATTATTTCTAAGTTAGCATTTTATCAGACACCTCAAAGAAGAGACAGATTAATTCAGAGTAGGACTAGTGTTGGGCTTGTGTAATTTCTTTTAAAAGGGCTGCCCCATGTATATGCCATGGGAAATGAAAAGATTAGAATTCCAGTGTAATGTGATTCTTTCCTATAGAGTCATCCTGGGGAGAGTTGGGGTATATTTGACTTCAGAGTTGTGTGTGCGTGTGTGCGTGTGTGTGTGTGTATTTCTGTTTTTCTCACCACCCTTCTTTTTCTATATGACCTCTGCAGGTAATCCACGACTTCTTATTCTCCTTGAAGGAAAGCCCAGAAAAGTTTCAGATTGAAGCCAATTTTCCCAGGCGAGTGCTGCCCTGCATCCCTTCAGAGGAGTGGCCCAATCCCCCTACGCTACAGGAGGCCGGACTCAGCCACACAGAAGTTCTTTTTGTTCAGGACCTAACTGACGAATGACATTTTTTTCTTCCTGTCCCCTCCTACCCCAGTCCCTAAAAGAAATGGGGAAAAAAGAAAACAACAGCAAGTCAGAAAAAAAAAACAAGAGAGAGAAATTCATATTATTATTATTATTATAATACAATATTTTTTTTAAAAGACTGCTGCATCCTTAGGAAGGATCAGAAACCATGCTGCCCGTAAGAGTCACAACCTGTGTGTGCGCGCAAGGTTAGCAACAAACGTACCCGCTTGGCAAGCCCACCCTTCCTGTGGCCTCTGTGCACGCACCTTCCAGTGAACAGAGACTCTTCACCTTCGACCCATCCATTGTCCCAGCTGGGAAGGGGACATTCCCACTAGTTCTCATTCATTCTTGCTTTTATGAAAAATAAAAGTGAAAAACCTCCATCAACCAGCTACTTGCAGCATCTCCTGAGGACTTGCTTCTCCTGCCTCTGGGGAAGAGAGGGAAGAGAAAGCACAGAGCAGAGAAGCAGAGATGTTCCTTGAACTGCCCACAAGTTTTCAATAACTTTTATTTCTGTTTTGTAATGACCAAAGGAATGAGGCTGACATAGGTATATATATATATTTTTTTCCTTTATTTGATAAAGAGCCAATTCTTTAAACCCATGAGTTTATGCCCTGGGCTCCTTAGCCCACAATAGTGTAATAAAAGTGCCCCGGGCTGGTTTGTGCTTATTTCTGCCATTGTCCCTCTCACGTTCCCAGAGAGGTCATTCTTTTTGGTCCAACTCTTGCTGTCCTTTCTTACCACCTGTGCACCCCACTTGGAGCAGTGGGAGGAAATCTGGGTTTGTGGCCCCACAAAGGCTGTATATGTAAAGATACACCTATGTATGTGGTGGAACTCACCTTTACACACAACTGCAGCTTTTCCTTGGAGTCTGTACCAGGTGGTGGTTATGGGGTCTGAACCAAAGGATAGCAGCTCTTCATTCCTCTTCTGACATGTGCATGCTGCTCCCCCCAGCCCTGGGCTTTCCTGAATTGCCAAGCCTGGTGCCTTTCCAAAGGACTAGCAGGGCCTGTGGTGGAGCCAGCAGAACCACAGGAGAGTGCCCTGCCTGTCTCAGTGGAAGTGTATTATTGTTTTAAGGATAGAACCAGAGGCCTTGAAGGGAGCCAAGACAGAACTCCCAGCCTGTGTAATCTATTGGAAGGCACATTTTCATTTCTGATGCAGCCACCTTCTGGAGGCAGCTTTTATCCTTTCTCTCTATTGCTATGTTGAAGTAATAGGGTTTTTTTTAACCTCTGGATGTCTCGTCTGTGGTTGAGTTTATGGTAATGGGTACATGGGTCAGGCCATGTATTAACAGATGCCAGTGCGCTCTGACAAGTATTCCAAAGTGTTCTGTAGCTAGACTGGTGCAGGCTCGTTGTACCACTGCAACCGACTGACGTTACTGTAGTTCCTAGAATGCTGTGAGGGCGGGGGGTTCAGATCAACATAAAGCCTAACTTGCTGGAGTTGTAGTCTCAAGGCTTTCTCTCTTGCTTAACTAAAACCTAAGGACCACTGTTTTTGGTAGCAATTATATGGTTACTATCCACTGCAGTCCTCAGTTGTTGGGGTAAATCCCACATGGCAGAGTAAGGCACCCCACAGAAATTAACTTGGAGAGCCTGAGAAATTCCCAGTGGCCTTGGCATAGCTGTCTAGAACACCATCTCTAGGAAAATTTAATTCTGTCCCTGGCCAGCTATTGTTCTTCCACTTCGTTTTCTGCTGTCCCAAGGCCAGATGAGTGGAATCACCATCTGACTGCTGTCAATAAAATGTATCTGGCGTGAACAGCAGGATAACCCATGTTCTCCACATAAGGATAACCTTACGTGAAACCTTCCTGCTGACAACCATGCAGAGGAATTTTTCCACTTAAGTCAGAGCCTTCCTCCCCATCTGGAATTCACAGCTGTTCCCTGGCAGCACACAGGAGGGTATTAAGGACCTTTGTGAGGCTAGGTACACTGTCCACACCTCTTTGGGGAAGTTACGATTTTTTTTTTCCATCATAATTCAGTCTCTTCTTATTCTACAGTGTGCACTTTATGCCTCTCGCCTTTTGATAATAGTTGTTCAGTGAAGGAAGTCAGCTGCCAGAATATTAAGAAGGGTCTCCCTTTATGTCAGTACAACTGTTAGGGCGGCCTTCCCATTTACTTTAGGTTTCAAGAGGATTCACCGGAAGCACATGCCCCGGTCTAGTCCCATTTGAAACAGTTCTGCTTTACTGAGACCCTAGGCCGGTCTCCTTGCTGACCCTAGCGCTGCTGCCTAGGTGCCATTTCCTTTCCTCCTCAGTCAAATACAGGCTGCACATTTTGTCACTTAATGCCAGTACAATCTGTGTTACTCCTAAGGACTTTTGGGATTTTGATGAGACCTGCGAGGGAGAAGACACTGAGAAGCCAGTGATCTGCAAGCATTTGCTCTTGTTTCCACATCACCTCTGGGATATTTCAGCTGTTGTTTCCAAATGGCAAATCATCAACTAAAAGCACTTGTTTCAAGTTTTGTTCTGCACTCCCACGACTGAAGTTGTAGATTGAGCTGAATAACCATGGGAAGTGACCAAGCAAAGACACTCGATTGGAGTCAGTTGAATATTTGTACCCTCAGTGGAGCCCTTCTGGTCTTTTCTTCCACTTCTGCAGAATTTCCTCTAGCAAATACTTCTTTCTCCTTGCTTGCCTCCACCATGATATTTGAATAAGAGATGGCCAGAGGATAACACTTGTCTCTTAAAAACTAAGCTAAAAAGAACCTAGAACCTTCAATTGAGCAGTTGTGAAAATTGCTAATGGTGCCAAGGCCAAGCAAAGAGTTTCAGAAAATGACTGAGAAGGAGCGATAACCCCCAGAATGCAAAATCAGGGGCATCATTATCCGGTGCTTGAACAAGGAGCTCCGCTCTACAACTGGTTTTTTTAGGACTTGTGAGGAACACAGCAACGGAAATCCATCCACAAAGGATGCAGTGCCCCAACTTGTACTGCGCCTGAATAGTCATGTGATAATTTACTGAAGAAATCTAGTGTACTTTAAATTTTTTTCATAAAAGTTTACATTGTATTGTAGGTTAACATTAAATGTTTTATAGCAAAAACTTCATAACAGGCTGTGGATCTTTCTGTGTGGGACCGATGTGGTAGATAATTTTCTATGTGTGAAGGAGAGGTTGAAAAACACCGGGAGGGAACAGCATGGCATGGCATTGCCAAGAAGGAAGGGAGAGTCAAAGAGAAGGATGGAGTTAGGTCTTCTCTGTTGTATCCCTGTGGAAAAATAGCAACTTAGTATGATGGAGAGAGAGAGCAGACAGGCCTGGGTTCAAATTTGGGCTCTCTAGTTTGTCAGGTTTGCAACCTCGGGCAAATTCTCTAGCTTCCCTGAACTTGAATTTCCCCAGCTATAAATGAAGATAATGCCGTCCACCTCAGGATAGGTTTATAGATTCAATCAAGTAAATGTATATGAGGCTCCTGATATGTAGATGTCATTAAGTGTTTGTTCCCCTTCTATGGGAGTGTATTTTGTAAGAATATTTTCTTGGAATAACATTTTCTTAAGGAATTTGTCACTTTTGTTGGAACCAACTTGTGTCCTTGCAAAGGAGTGTCTAGAAAAAGCCTCTTCTGATTTACAGATTCTGGATGGTTGGCATTCTCCTAGGTATTTTTGCTCATGTTTTTATTCTTTTTTTAAATTTATTTTTATTTATTTTTTTGAGACAGAGTCTCCCTCTGTCGCCCCAGGCTGGAGTGCAGTGGCGGGATCTCAGCTCACTGCAAGCTCTGCCTCCCAGGTTCACGCCATTCTCCTGCCTCAGCCTCCTGAATAGCTGGGACCACAGGCGACCGCCACCGCGCCCGGCTAATTTTTTGTATTTTTGGTAGAGGCGCGGTTTCACCGTGTTAGCCAGGATGGTCTTGATCTCCTGACCTCGTGATCCGCCTGCCTCGGCCTCCCAAAGTGCTGGGATTACAGGTGTGAGCCACCACGTCCGGCCTCATGTTTTTATTTTAATTTTTATTTTATTTTAATTTTTTTGAGATAGAGTCGCACTCTGTTGCCCAGACTGGAGTGCAGTGGTGTGATCTCTGCTCACTGCAAGCTCCGCCTCCCAGGTTCAGGCCATTCTCCTGCGTCAGCCTCCCGAGTAGCTGGGACTACAGGCGCCCACCACCACGCCCAGCTAATTTTTTGTATTTTTAGTAGAGACGGGGTTTCACCGTGTTAGCCAGGATGGTCTCGATCTCCTGACCTCGTGATCCTCCTGCCTCGGCCTCCCAACGTGCTGGGATTACAGGTGTAAGCCACAGTGCCCAGCCTTTTTTTTTTTTTTTTTGATACAGTCTTGCTCTGTTGCCCAGGCTGGAGTGCAGTGGTGTGGTCTCAGCTCACTGCAACCTCTGCCTCCCAGTTTCAAGCGATTCTACCATGCCTAGCTAATTTTGGTATTTTTAGTAGAGATGGGGTTTCACCATGTTGGCCAGGCTGACCTCGTGATCCGCCCGCCTCAGCCTCCCAAAGTGCTGGGATTACAGGCATGAGCCACCGCACCCGGCCTCATGTTTTCATTTCTGAGAGGAAATATAAGCCTCAGTTTTCTGCCTTTGTCCTGTGCAGATACTCAGTTTTGTGGGTACAGATTCTTGGTACCTTCAGAGTTGTCCCCGTGTTACTAGCCAAAGATTTGGGGCCCTGATTTTTTTAATGTGCATTAAGTGTAAACTAGAACTCTATTGCTCAGTTTAATAAAGTGTGCAAGAGTTTAAGCTGAGAAGCCACTAAAAACATTTCACAATTGATTTTGAAACTTAAATATAAGCTGGGCATGGTGGTTAATGCCTGTAATCCTAGCACTTTGGGAGGCTGAGGTGGGCAGATCACCTGAGGTCAGGAGTTAGAGACCAGCCTAGCCAACATGGTGAAACCCCGTCTCTACTAAAAAATAAAAAAATTACCCGGGCATGGTGGCACATGCCTGTAGTCCCAGCTACTCAGGAGGCAATTGCTTGAACCCAGGAGACGGAGGTTGCAGTGAGCTGAGATCTCGCACTGCACTCCAGCCTGGGCGACAGAGTGAGACTCTGTCTCAAAAAAAGAAAAGAAACTTGAGTATAAAAGTTTTAGCCAGGCATGGTGGTGCATGCCTGTAATCCTAGCTACTTGGGAGGCTGAGGCAGGAGAATCGCTTGAACCCAGGAGGCAGAGGTTGCAGTGAGCCAAGATTGCGCCATTGCACTCCAGCCTGAGCAACAAGAGTGAAACTCTATCTCAAAAAAAACCCACAAAGTTTTGCTATCAATGAACAGAATCAGAGGACTCAAAACTCCAAGGCCAGATTACACTTTTTTTTTTTTTTTTTTTTTTTTTTTTTTTTTTTTTTGAGATGGAGTCTTTGCTCTGCTGCCCAGGCTGGAGTGCAGTGGTGCGATCTCGGCTTACTGCAACCTTCACCTCCCGGGTTCAAGCAATTCTCCTGCCTTATCCTCCCAAGTAGCTGGGATTACAGGCATGTACCACCATGCCCAGCCAATTTTTGTATTTTTAGTAGAGATGGAGTTTCACCATGTTGGCTAAGCTGGTTTCGAACCTCTGACCTCAAGTGATCTGCCTGCCTCGGCCTCCCAAAATGCTGGGATTACAGGTGTGAGCCACCGCGCCCGGCCAACATTTGGGTTTAAATCCTGGCTCTGGCCATGACTGTGGCCAAGTGACTGGCTTCAACTCCCTAGACCTACATCTCATCTGTAAAATAGGGTTGATTGTGGCATTGCTGTGAAGTTGAAATGAATTGCTGTTGCAGAACGCCTGGCACGTAGTAGGTGTTTGGAATACCTCCTGTTGCTGCTTACAAAACAGTTGTAGCTTACTACTGAAGATTTACCCTAGACGTGACTGAGTGCCTGGCATTTTTTTCTTCACACGTCTCTCTGGCGTGGCAGGCAGAGCTCCATGTGCACTTTTATCCTGAGGGAGCCTCGGGCCCCCAGGGTCCCTCATGCCTGTGAGCTCGGCCACTGCACTGCTGAGCCCCTCCCAGTCTTCCTTCTGCCCTCCCCTGCCTGTCTGTCTTCACTAACAGAATGATGCCCCAAAACTCCCAGGTTTCTTCCCCTTTAACTAAAACCTGGTTTTCCCTTGAAGATGCCATTTCAAAAAACCCTTAAGCAAAGGCCACTCATTTTCCCATGAATCTTGACACCAGGAGGCAGGATCTGTATTTCTTTCCTTTTTTTTTTTGAGATGGAGTCTCACTTTGTCGCCCAGGCCTGAGGGCAGTGGCATGATCTCGCCTCACTGCAAGCTCCGCCTCCCGGGTTCAAGCGATTCTCCTGCCTCAGCCTCCCGAGTAGCTGGGACTACAGGCGCGTACCACCACGCTCAGCTAATTTTTGTATTTTTAGCAGAGATGGGGTTTCATCATGTTGGCCAGGATGGTCTCAATCTCTTGACCTCGTGATCCACCCGCCTCGGCCTCCCAAAGTGCTGGGATTACAGGCGTGAGCCACCATGCCCGGCCAGGATCTGTATTTCTTTTCTGCCACTTTGGTGCGTGGTCTTGAAGGACGGTGCTGAAGAG